>NC_000012.12:74429824-74581340 GCF_000001405.40 Homo sapiens | reverse complement strand
ACATCTCCCCAAGCTAACTATAAGTGACTCATCAAACTCTTAAAATTTCTTATGTTTTAATGAAATTAATATATATAAAATCTCTAGCATTATTTAAGGAAGGTGCTCAAGATAGATGGGTATGTCAACCTAAAGAAAGAAACTGAGGCAAAATTGATATAAGTAGAGAGTTAATTTGGGCCAAAATTCAGAGCAGTAACCCAACAAATACTTCCAAGCTTCTTTAGAAATGCGGTTAGTTGGGGCAGTTATAAGCAGATTTTTAAAGGCAAAATGAGGAGGCACAGCAAGGGGGTTTCAGTCTGTTCACATACAAATACCATTTGTTAACAGTGATAAGCTAATAAATGATTGGCAAAAGGCTACAGTGTATCTCCAAATAGTCATTATCAGTATGTGGTTAGGGTTGTTCCTGGAATTATTCACCTAAGCAGGAAGCATTAAGGAATTTCAGGCAAGTAACTTTGGTCTCATGTCCCTTCTCTTTGTCGATTTAAATTTAGTTAACCTCTGATTGTCCAATTTTGTTCTCATATTCTTTAATCATATGTGTTTTCCCCGTGATTTCCATGTGAGTGTTTCACTATCTAACATGGACAGTTTTCAAGAATAATGCACTGGTGTTCCCTATGTTTGAGGAAAGAGTTTGGGATTTGGGGGATAAATTTAAAGGCTGATAACTATTCACTAGATATTAAATTTTGGGAAAAATCCTTAACATATTTCAACCTGTTTCCATCTTTTAAAGGATAACATCTATTTTGCATGTTTGTGAGAATTAAACGATGCAATGAAGATAAATTTTCTGGAATATGGTAGGAGAAAGATTCACACATGTTAGTACCTTTTACTTACCCTTCAATTATTCATCACTTACTTAAGATATTCCACTCTGAGTATTTTTCTTTCAAATTATGACGGCTGGTGATTTCTTATTCTCAGAATAATTAATCTTTCAGAATTTGTATCACAAAACCTACAAATCAATTGCATTAGCTATTTTTTGCTCATTTGTATTATATTACACTGAAAGTCCTTAGAGAACTATAAAAAATATATGCATTTGCCAGAGGTGGTATTGTTGCTTTTTCT
This sequence comes from Homo sapiens, assembly GCF_000001405.40. Taxonomy (NCBI): domain Eukaryota; kingdom Metazoa; phylum Chordata; class Mammalia; order Primates; family Hominidae; genus Homo; species Homo sapiens. The sequence continues at coordinate 74,580,248 of NC_000012.12, read as the reverse complement.
AATTCCTTCTGAATTCTGTGATGTAATTAATCTGAGCCTGGTGCCCTGTCACCTTCAATAATCTTGACGACCTTATTACACTCTCCAGCAGAGAGATAAGTATTAAGTGAGCACCTGAGGGAATTAGATTCTACTGTCATCATTACCAGCCAATGTTTTTATAAACCATTTCACCCTTTTGTGTATATGAGAAATTGTATATTAAACTGAGAATGAATAGAACTGTTGTATTTGCCAACTCATTTTTATAACTGGGGGCAGAGTGGAGGAGGAGAGGTAGTGAGGATTCTAATAAGGAAGAAGAAAATTAAACCGCATCTGTGAGGTAAAACTGAGTCTCTTTTCATTATTAAAGCTGTTTGTCATTGCAGCAGCCACTGCTTGTTGTCTTAGGGAAGTATCGTACGTGACTGCAGTTTTAGAAAACATTTTTTCAATTTTGCTTTGCTGTTTTTGACTTGATTGCTGGGATGGTACTGTGATTGCATACCTGAATAATAATAAAATTTGGCATTCAGATTTGAACAGTGAAGAGAAAGGATGAGAAAAATAATGGTGATGGCTTAAGCCCATGTTAAATTTATGTAAAAATGTGGTTAGCCAAATGATGAACAGATGCAGCTGAGTATTTTCATCATTTTTGTTAAATATCCTGCAAATGATTCTGGCTAGTTACACAGGAAAATTGCATCAAAATGAAGTGTGTACATGAGTAAAATATTAATGACTGAGTGCCATTCAATGGGCTATAGATAATGCAGCTGTTTTTAGCCTCCAGCTGTGGAAACATAACTTACTTTTTCTGAGGAAAAATCAGGCTTCCCATTTTGTTTTATTCCAATCTAATTTCCTATTTATTCACTTTTATTTCTTAGTTTTCTGACATTTCTTTCTTTAAGGGGTATCTCCAACATAGCTATAGTCTTTTCTAAGTAATAGGAGTCAAAAAATCAGTACTTACAACCTTTATTTAGATTTCTGATAATGTGTGTCACTCCTGAGTAGTGGACACCTTGGAGAGAAGCCTATTGGTGGGCTGCAGTAACATTTATAATGGGAAGCCATATAGCTTAGCCTCCTTAGTTACAAAAGATCAGAAGTAAACTGGAGAAACAAGGTCTGCCCCTCACCCACCATTTCCCAAACATGGATGATGGTGATTAAATAATGATCAATCATTTTAAAGGGATGGATAAATAAAGACATATTGGTAGTAGGACAGGATATGGGGTAGGCAGAAAGCTAAAAATATACAAAGAAGGTATTAAGTAAAATCTGTCAAGCAGAAGCGGTTGCCAATGAAAGGAAAACACGGAAGGAGCAAAAAAGAAGAGAGAGGAATGAATTATTAATTGTAATAGGAGTATAGACATATGTAGCCAGAGACTATGCAAAGATCATTTCATATGCCATCTCATTCAATTATCACAGCAATCCTACAAGTATTGTAAGATCCTTCCAAATCCTACAGATGTGGAAAACTGAAGTACAGAGAGATAAAGAAAGTTGACCAAGATCACGTAGCAAGTTGAACCCAGCAGTTTGGCTCCAGAGTCCATACTCTTAAGCACTGTGTTACTGTATTGCCTTCAGTACCAACTGCAGTAGTGGAAAAAAGTTGGAAAGTAATTAAATCATAAAAATAGCAGAAATGGAGACAAAGGAACGGTTACTCTGAGATCAGTTCTATTTCACAAGATCTTCTAAAAGCTCAAACTATATTCTAAGCTAAAAAGTTTAGTCCACATTATGGAACTCACTTTTTCTCCTATGAGATCTGCTGTTTGCTCTCAGTACTCATACTCATTGAAGTATCATATGAATAATATGTAGGGAGACCTGAAAAAATGGAAATGAGATTGGAAGATGTGAGCACAAAGTGGTATGGGCAGAGATGTTCATGAGAGTAAATGGCCTGAAATAGGAATGACTGGCATATTTTAGTGTTAGCAACAAGGCCAGTTTAGCTCTATTATGACAGAATTTTTTCTGTACTATTTCAAATCCCTTAACATTTGGAATGCTGAGAGTGACTGATATATAACAAGGGCTCAATAACCACTAACTGAATGAAAAAATGAATTCAAAATGCATGAATGCAAACTGCAAAAACATTTGGGCACTAGTCATTGGTGAACAGAAGTCAAATATCACCAACATGGCCATAAGAGGAGAGGAAAGATAGCTTGAGCATTTCCAATGAAAAACTTCCGCTAATACACTAATCTGTTCTTGATTAGCCCTGCTTCTTTGTTCTTTTTCTTTTTTTTTTTTTTTAGCCCAGTAGCCTCTCATGCTGTGTACTTGGCTTCAGAGACCTTGTGTTTTTCCAATCAAACATACTGTTAGTTAAAAAGGCCTTTTTTAACTTTTCATGAATGAGGAATAATGCCAATATTTGACTACTTTATTTCATTAGGCTGTTCATCCATGTAGAGTTACTAGAATCATTTATTTCTAAATATATACTGGATTAATAGCTAAGTCAAAATCAAATTATTGCCAAATCAGCTACATACACATTTTAATATCTTTGTGATCCTCATGACCAACTCTATGGACATGCTCTTTGGCCAACTCAAGTCTAATAAGTTAGATAAATGTTCCATAATCAATATAAACTGTAATTACACATAATTGTATTCTCTATATTATTAGAACTAACAAATTCATTCAAAATTTTCAAACAAAATACTTGGCATTTACTTTGTCTCCTATTTTTATGGCTTCACATCAATGCACTAATTGTGGGCTTACATTATTGAATCATATACTAGATGTTACCTGGTATTCTGCTATTCTGAGTTCTGCTTTGTCTATTGCTGGTATTAAAGATGTTGATTGCACAAGATGTGGTTTTAAAAAGTTTGGTTTTTATTCACTCTTATTTTTTAGTGCAATCAATGAACATTAGCCATAATTCTTTTTTTTTTTTTTTTTTTTTTTTTTTTTTTGAGACGGAAGCTTGCCCTGTCGCCAGGCTGGAGTGCAGTGGCAATATCTCGGCTCACTGCAACTTCCGCCTCCTGGATTCAAGTGATTCCCCTGCCTCAGCCTCCCGAGTAGCTGGGAGTACAGGTGCACACCACCATGCCCGGCTAATTTTTTGTAGTTTAATAGAGACGGGGGTTCACCATGTTGGCCAGGATGGTCTCAATCTCATGACCTCATGATCCACCCACCTGAGCCTCCCAAAGTGCTGGGATTACAGGCATGAGCCACCGCACCCCGCCAACATTAGCCATAATTCTGTGAGAAGCTGGCAGTATCTATCTGAGTTATAGGCATCAGCTTGTAATGAGAATAGACCCTCCCTTCAGATGTTATAAGCCATAAACCAAATCTCTTTGCTTCAATATATAGTTGTATTCGTTTTCTAGAACTGCAAAACAAAATAACAGACACGAAGTGGCCTAAACAACAGAAATTTACTTTCTTACGGTTTTGAAGGATGGAAATCCATGGTCAAGATCTCAGTAGGTTTGACTTTCCTGAAGCTTCTCTCCTGGTTTGCAGATGACCACCTTCTCTCTGTCCTCACCTGTTCATCCCTCTATCACGTTGTCTGTATCTTAATCTCCTCTTCTTATAAAGACACCAGTAATATTGGAATAGATCTTACCCAAATGACCTCATTTTACCTTAACTATCTCTAAATAGCTTATCTCCAAATAGTCACATTCTGAGGTACTGGAAGTTAGTACATCAAAATAAGAATTTTGAGGGAATACAATTTAGCCCATAACAGTATTTCCTCATGTCACAAGCCCTAGAATCTTGATGGCCCTGCTATAGTGAGTATATCCAGAATGTTTACCTCAAACTCAAATCAGGGGCCGTAGTACAAACAGATGACTCTGGTGGTTTGAAGGACAGATAAATTAAGGATATCTACCATGAGTAGTGTTGCTACTTCTGAGGACAGGCAGATAGTTTTAATAAAACTATTGTACACTAATTTATGTGTGTGTATGTGTGTGTACTTTTTAATTTATACAAACACCATAAAAAGTTGCTTTTCAAATTCCATTACACACATGAAAAATCTAAGACTCAGAAAAACTATCTAACATGTGTAAGATGGCAAGATTACAGATGGTAGAGCTGAGATTAAAATGCAGATCTCTATAATTTTAAAGTCCATACACTGTTACCATTGCCTAGTGTAATTTTATTTTATTTTATTTTATTTTGAGACAGAGTCTCGCTCTGTCGCCAGGTTGGAGTGCAGTGGTGTGATCTTTGCTCACTGCAACCTCTGCTTCCCAGATTCAAGTGATTCTCCTGCTTCAGCCTCCTAAGTCGCTGGGACTACAGGCATGCGCCACAACACCCAGTTAATTTTTGTATTTTTAGTAGAGATAGGGTTTCACCATGCTCGCCAGGATGGTCTCGATCTCTTGACCTCATGATCCACCTGCCTTGGCCTCCCAAAGTGCTGAGATTACAGGCATGAGCCACCTCACCCTGCCTAATGTAGTTTTTCTAATGTCTGGATTAGATTTATGAAAGCTCATTAGAAAATTATTAAATAAGACTCACTGAAATGTTATTTTATTCTTTCACATTTGTAGGCAATAACAGTACTTTTAATTAAAAGTATGGAATTGACACATACTGAGAACTTAAGTGTAAGTAACTTGAGAGTCAGAAGTGTTTATAAAACCTGAAATTTCTCCAACACAGTAGCGACTGTGCTTACTATGCGTGTTAGTCCATTTTCACACTGCTATAGAGCACCACCTGAGACTGGGTAATTTATGAAGAAAGAAGGTTAATTGACTCACAGTTCTGCATAGCTGAGGAGGCCTTAGGAAACTTACAGTCATAGCAGAAGGGGAAGGGGAAGCAAGGCACACCTCACATGGCAGGAGAAAGAGAGAGCAAAAGGAAGTGCCATGATTTTAAACCATTAGATCTTATGAGAACTCATTCACTATCATGAGAACAGCATGGAGAAACTACCCCCATGATCCAATCACCTCCCATAAGGTCCCTCCCTCAACACATGGGGGTTACAATTCGAGATGAGATTTGGGTGGGGACACAAAGCCAAACCGTATCACTATGGATGGTAGTATCAGGGTGCACATGCATCTTAAAGCTGTGCTAGTTTAGAACCATTCAATCTGTATTACAAAATTTGTATCCATTTACTTCTAAGTTAAATCTGGCAAAAAGAGCCAGATAGTTTTCTAAAAAATTATATGTATATTTGTAATAATTTGGCATACAAAAATCATGTTGGGGCCTATAAGAAAAATCTCAGGGGATGAGACAGTTATCTATAGTGCAATAGAAATAGAACCAGAAGCTTTCTGGTTGCCAGTATAAAGAGACATGCAATATTTATCAAGATGCCAGAAATAGCTAACTGTTATTTTAGCTAGAACCCCGGATCAGATCAACAGTCACTGGGACATATTCAAGAAATACTCATAAGATGACACAAATTGAGAAGTTAAAAATGCCCTTTATTTGAGTAAAGATATTTATGGCATCAGAGGTGTGTTTAACAATAGTTACCTATTTTGATTATGCTGATAGACCAGAATAGTCAAATAAAAGAATATGCTACACAATTCTTTTAGTCTGTGTTATACAGCTGACCATAGAACAGAACAAGAATTAGGGGTGCACTCACCCAGTGTAGTAAAAAATCTGCATATAACTTTTGTCTCCCCCAAAATTTAACTTCTAATAGCCTACTGTTGACTAGAAGCTTTACTGATAACATAGTCAGTTAACACATATTTTATATGTTACATGTATTTCATATAGTATTATTACAGTAAACTACAGAAAATTAAAAGTAAGAAAATTATAAGGAAGAAAAAATTTATTTACTTTTCATTAAGTGGAAGTGAATCATCATAAAGGTCTTCATCCTCATCATCTTCATTCTGAGTAGTCTGAGGAAGAGGAAGAACATGAGGGATTGGGTCTTGGTGTCTCAGGGGTGGCAGAGGTAGAAGAGGTAGAGTAAGTGGATGGGGAAGCAGAAGAGGCAGATACACTTAATGTAAACTTGTTGAAATACATTATAATTTCTGTCTGACTTTTTTACTTCTCTAAAAATATTTCTATGTAGTACAATACTTCTACCATTTATTTTAGCTTCAGTGCCTATATCATAGAAAGATTTGTGTTGCAAAACAAGTAAAAAGCAGTCTTATATAATTGAAACTCTTCTGTGAGACTATCTAATGTAATTTGCTTTCTGACACTGTTTCTTCTACATCTTCCTTATCATTTGTCACTGATCCTAAGCATTTGTGTCCATCAAGTCATCCTCTGTTCATTCCTCTGCTGTGATGTCTACTAACTCTTGAATTTCTCCAGGATTCATATCTTGAAATCATCCCCCAACATATTTTTTTGCCATATCCAAAATCTCTTTCATTATTTCCTTGATTAGCCTTGTTGTAAAGCCTGTGAAATCATGTACAACATCTGAACTCAGTTATCTTCAGAAGGAATTTATTGTTTTGAGCATGATAGTTTCACTACTTTTTCTATAACAATGATGACATCTTCAGTGGTACAGTCTTTCCAGAGTTTCATATTTGCTCTCCTGGGGTTCTCTTCCGCAGAATTGACAATCTGTTTTACAGAGTATTATTTGTAATGACCTTTAAAAGTTCTTATGACTCCCAAATCTAGAGGCTGAATTAGAAACTGTGTTTGGGAGCAAATAGACCACTTTGACACCTCTGGTGTTGAACGCATAGGATTCTGTGTGGCCATGGGCATTGTCCCATACAAAATAAGTTTAAAAGTCAGTCCCTTATTGGCAAGGTAAGGGACTTCACAGAAAAAGCATCCATAGAACCAATGTAGAAAAAGGATTCTCTTTGTCCATGTCTTCCTTTTGTACAACTGATAGGCTGGCAGCTGGTGTTTATTATTTTCCTTCAATAATGGGTGCTTAGCAGCTTTACAAATAAGGGCAATCCTGATCATTAACCTGAAGCATTTTCACAAAATTGTAGAGTTAGCCTCTTCCTTCCTGCCTTAAATCCTGGTGCCTTCCCTTTCTTACTAATAAATGCCCTTTGTGGCATAGTTTTCTAGAATGGGGTACTTCTGTCTGCATTAAAAACCTTTTCAGGCAGATATCCTTTCTTCTCAATGATTTCATTAATAGCATCTCAGATCTTGGTCAGCAGAAGCTGCTTCTCCTCTTATCTTGATATTTTTTACAGTAAAACCTCTTTATTAGGTTATCAAACCATCCTTAGCTGGCATTACATTCTCCAGTTTTAGATCCATTACCTTCCTTTAGCTTTAAGTTGTCATAGAATGATTTCACTTTTTCTCAAATCATATCACATATATAGGTATACTTTTCTTATAGCAACCCTTTACTCACATAAAAGCTGCATTTTCAATGCACAATAAAAAGACATTTAACAAAAAGTGCACGTTTTTTGCACCTGCTGGAATAGCTGCAGCAATAACTTCACTAGTTTTCTTTTCATTTTTAACAATAGTCCTTATTCTGAATTTATTTATCTTGAAATGGTGGGGAGCTGCAGCTGCAGATCTCAAACAAAAGCACATATCAAACAATTTAACTTTTTTTGTAAGGTCCTTACTTTACTTTACTTTACCTCTTGGGGGCACTTCCATGTTACTAGTTGCATTTCTTATGTTTCCCATGGTATTTTTCAGGATTTATTGTATTGCACTAAACACAGTAAAAAAACACGTAAGAACTTCCAAAGATCACTTTCTACTGTGATGCAATTTATTTGAGAGACAAAACAGCTCATGCGGAGATGATTAGCACCATATAGCATTTTTAAGTAGGTACTAGCAATACTTGAGGTCACCACAATAACAAGAAGTTGCTACAAAATTATTACAATAGTGCATTATGTACTACAGTTAATTTTATGCAGTTGTGATTTAATACTACATCTTTACATGTATTTATATTTCTTGCTACTACACTGAGAATGGCACCATGTAGGGTCTTCTAAGCATTTGTGTGCATAAGTTTTGACAAATTTTAACTTTTTATAATAGATTTGTATATACTTTATGGTAGTAAATAATAAAATAGACTGATATGTACATATATTTTATGCATTCACTACATACCTAACTTTTTCTTAGTGTTTTCAATATTTCTAGGCTTCATGGTTTATCTGCAAATTTTTTAAAAAATCGTCACAAATCTCAAAAAAGTTGTCCAATACATTTATTTTTAAAAAATGTATGCATAAGTGGTCCTACAGTTCAAACATGTTTTCAAGAGTCAATACAAAAATACAAATACAAATATACAAATGTAAATATAAATACATATGTATATATACAAATATAAATATAAAGTATAATTCTGATAATTGACAAAAGCATGTGAAGACTGAAGACAGAAATGCTGACTTTTTTCATTAAATACAAAGTGATGGGACAATAAATTATTTTCAAGTTAATGAATATTATAAATCATGGTATAACTAAAAATATTCTATGTATTAAGTGTTGAATGAGATGTTTGAATCCCATCATATTTATATCCAAAGGTTTTCCTTAATTGAAATCTTAGCATAAAAGGGTAAACTGAGTTTATTAACAGAATAAAAAGTACAAGACAAAGTGCAAAAAAATACAAGAAATAAAATATTTTTGAAAGTTATTTTTACTTGCACTTGGGGTTATCATAATTGCAACATTTATAATTACAAAAAATTACAATAAATTTTATGTAATATTTAACTGGATTGAGTATACTGTATATGTATGGCTATTATTTCCTAGCTTTCAAAAATATCATTTTTTACACATACATATTTTGTCAGAAAAAATAAGTTAAAAGTTTCTGGTTCTAGATATTTAGTTTACTGTTATCAAAATGTCATTTTTCACAAAAATTGGCCAGTTACTTCCCATATTGCTAAGTGGAATTGAAATGGATTTTTAATTAAAGGAAACATTATAGACTAGCCTCATTTGATCCATAGTTTTTCTTCCCATAGTTTCAGTTAGCTGTGGTCAACTGCAGTCCAAAAATAGATGCATATAATACAACAAGATATTTTGAGACAGACAGCTTTCACATAACTTTTATTATAGTATGCTGTTATGGTTGTTCTATTTTATAATTATTTTTGTTAATCTCTTACTGTGCCTAATTTCTAAGTTAAACTTTATCCTATGTATGTATGCATAGGAAAAAACATAGTATATATAGGATTCAATATTCTTCATGGTTTCAGGCATCCCCTGAGTGTACTGGAACTTATCTCCCACAGATGAGGGAGGATTTCTGTACAACCCAAGTTGATAGAGAAAAAGAGAGGAAGCAGACAAGAAAGAAGCTACATAAATTACGTAATGGTTTTCTTTTCCATATTTTAAAAATGTGCCTGGACAAAAAAATATGTTAAAAAAGACAGCCAAATTGTTATATTCTTCCAAAGTTTAGTATTATTTTGAACCAGGCACTGAGAATAGCATAGATATTGGCAACCTTGTAGCAATAGTGAAATAGGCCTTCAGAATAAGCAAAGTACATAATTAAGAAAAAATCATGGTAAACCTGTGATTCTTGAGTAAACTCTCTTTAACATAAGCTGTGCTACTTCACATGTCATGCAGTAAAAAGGAGAGACAGGTTGGAGAGGTTTTAGAAAGTTTCTGACTACGAAAATAAATTTTATTGATAACTGCATGTAATTTTAAAATAATTTCAGAGAGTGACTATTTATTTTACTCTTAAAATAGTCTTTAAAAGGACACATAAATGTGTAAGTATAATTATAAAAATTAATTATATTTTAGTGGAGGATATTTTACCTTTCTCAAAGAATGCTAGACGATCTTACTACGACCCATTGTAGTACTTGGATACATGGTTTAGTTACCAAAAAGACAAAGAAATAACAAATTACAGAGAAGTAACTTTTTTCCAGAAAATATAATTGATATGTATCCTTTGAGTATAATTAAAAGTCACTATCATAACATTACATTAAACAGAGGATGATTTATGAATGTTCCACAACATCTCTTCGTTGAAAATACCAGTGAACTTTCGGTTTATACGCAATATTCATGTGCACTGACTGGTCTGAGACAAATTGAATAAAACACATTGATGTTTAAAAAGCCTCATATATTTCTGACCTTAATTAATTTTGACAACATCACTGTGAAGGTACTGTGGTAGAAATTATTATTCCTTTTTTAGATGTGAGAAAACGAATTTGAGAGATGATTTTGCCAAACATCACAGGACTTTTGCAGTAGAACTGGTAGAGCCACCTGTTTTTTTTTTTTTTTTTCCTAGTCTGGGGCTTTAACTTAATTCCAAAAGTTTACTTAAAAATCATCTAATAAATTGGTTTGTTCCCTCTGTGTGATTGCATTTGAATTCTTTTTTAGATCAAAGGGCATTTTCATTAAATGATGCTCAGAAGCCATTTTACTGATTCTCTAGCTGAACTGCTCAGTAATTGGTTGACCTGTAGGAAAACCATAGAATTAAAAACAAAGAACAAAATCATTGTGGGGAGAGTGGGTGGCTTTTAAAATTATAGCTTATGTGATTTATAGGCTGGTTGTTATTTTCTTAATAAATGAACTGTCTTTGTTCTCAAATCCAAAAATGACATTTCCAATGTGTGAAGTATTTTGAAGTGATTGTTAAAAAAAAAAATCCATTCAGGCATGACATGTATCAGCCCTATTAAATTATCTACTATTCTAAATAGACCTGAGATTTGACCACTATTTTTTGGTTGCTGAAAGAAATTAATCAAGATTCTAATTTTTATGCAGTTTCCATGATGGCAAAAATAGACATGCTATAGTTGATAAAATCTTAGGATGAATTACTTTTAGCAAGCCCAACAGTGAAAATAAATCATAGGATATATGATCAATGCAGATATATGGAGAAATGTTTTAAAGCCAGGGTTTTTCTCTGTTCTGGTAGTTAAGTTTAACTTTAACTCTTAAAGATGTGTTAGATACTTTTGTTATGGTGTTGTAAGTTTTATTATAAACTTTTCTTTTGTTGTATTAAACTACAAATCACAAGTTTGTCCCTCTATGTAAAATTTACATAAAAAATTTGTGACTAACTCATCATATAGTTGTCCACCTTTATCACCTAGCATTTTTGCTTTTTACAAAAGTTGGGATGATTTCATTAATGCTGCCTCCCCCCAAAAAGAGAAAATAAATTAATTGCCAAGATGCTTCCTAGAAAATGGAAGTTATGAGATGAATATTAATCGATTTGATTTGCATTTTGCAACCAAACAGAACATTTCACATTTTACTGTTTGAAGTAACAATATACTAGGCAAAAAAAAACAAAAAAGAAAGGACAAGGAGTAGATTGCTGTTTTAAAAATCATAATTCTTACATATTTTGAATTTTCTTAAGACTGTGAGATCTTACATTTGTAGAAAACTAAATAAAGTATATTAAAAAATAAAATTTTAAAATTCTGCCGAATAAAAAGCTGAAATACACCAATATTTAGAAAGCAGATTTTGTAGCTGAAATTGTGATGAGAATTTTTTTCCTCCTTTCCAGGACCAAAATGAATTCATTGTTTTACTCTTAGAATTAGCACAACAATAATATTCAATTCAATATTTATTTAGATCTGTAATTTATTCCATCAATATTTATTGAGTGCCAGATCTTGTGCTGGGCAGTATATAAAACAGCCAAGGTCAGTTCTCATGAAACTTACATTCCAACAGAAAATCCTATACTTTGTAAAGAGCTGTGTTAGGGTTACTGGTCTTTACTTTCAAGAAGTGTGCTTATTCTGCTTATCTCCACTGGCAATGGGAGAGTGAGGGTGAGGTAGGTGGGCAGTTTGAGACTGAGGTAGAGAAGAGGGCGAAGGGGAATGGTAAGTCACAAGTGCCTAACTACCTGGATGACAAATGTGCTTAAATAAGTGCCAGAAAGAGGGAGACTATCATTCTGTTATTCACATCTATGATGGTTAATTTTAGGTGTCAGCTTGCTTGGATTAAGGAATACCTAGAGAGCTGGACAAGCTTACTTCTGGAATGCTTGTGATGGTGTTTCCATAGGAGATTGGCATGTGTGTCCCTGTACCGCGTGGAGATCTGCCCTCAATGCTTGTGGGCACTATCCTGTTGGTCTGGGCCCAGATAGAATAAAAAAAAGGAGAGAACAGGTGATTTCCTCTCTCTCTCTCTCTCTCTCTCTCTCTCTCTCTCCCCCTCCCTCCCCCTGGAGCTGGGGCACTCTCCTTCTACTGCCCTTGGACATTAGAACTCCAGGCTTTTCATCCTTTAGAGTTCAGGCCTCTGGATTCTCAGGCCTTCAGCTTCAGATTGAGAATTCAACCATTGGCTTCTCTGGTTTTGAAGTATTTGGATTTAAAAGGAGCCACACTTCCAGCATCCCAGAGTCTCCGGTTTGCCATTGACTTGTGTAACTTCTAAGCCTCCATAATCATGTGAGCTAATTCACCCAACAAATCCCCTCTCTTGTATCTGTATCTATACCTATATCTTTATCTGTATCTGCATCTATATATATGCCTATATGTATGTCTATACATATCTCTCTCTACAGATAGAGATAGAGAGATAGAGATAGACAGGTAAATAGATGGATAGATAGATAGATAGATAGAGACAGAGATAGAGATAGAGATAGAGATAGAGATAGAGATAGAGATAGAGATAAAGATAGGGATATCTATACCTACCCTCTTAGTTCTATCACTCTGGAGAACCCTTACTAATACGTATTCCACATATTACTGATAGGATTTTCCTATGAATGAGAATACAAGTCACAAACCAGCATCCCTAAATATCAGATGTTGACTTGCTTTGATGAAAATAGTTCTAAGACTGCAGGTCCATGGATAATGTTGCATTTTCGTAGGAATGAACTAAACACCCTGGAAAAACTCCACGATTTGTGAGATAGGGTTTTTTGTGGATTATTAATATGATACTTAGAGTGAACTTGCATAACCCTCCACCCAAGTTTTATCTCACAGTTTACTCTCCCTGAAGACCAGGCAAGAGCAAACAAGGGGGATGAAAACCTGGGGAATGCCACCTTCAACTTCATAATACCTTAGCATCAGGGCATTTTAGGAGTAGAAGAATGAAGGGAATGCAGAGTCAGTAAGTGGGTGTGGCAAGAAGAAATCTAAGACAGCCTCTAAACTGCCCACCCTCTATTATACATACCCTATATGACCAACCTTATGGATGTGTGTGTGTGTGTGTGTGTGTGTGTGTGTGTGTGTGTGTGGTGGTGGTGGTGGTAAGCAGAGGAAGAAGCTGTGATTATGATGAGATATAACTCTTATGATATGTTACTTTTTAATTCGAGTTCATCAAAACAGAGCTTTCCCAGTGTGGGTCTAACCTAATCATGAGAGTCCTTAAAAGAGAGTGAAGCATGAGAGAGCTTCTTTCCTCTTGACTATAGATTTCATATTGTGAGGAGGTGGTTACATGGCAAGGACTGGAGGGTAGCCTGCAGAAGCTGAGAGAAGTCCCTGGTTGATAACTAGTCAGAAAACAGGGATCTCAAGCATACAACACCAGAGAAATACATTCTGCAAACAACCAATGAGCTTAGAAGAGGATCCAGTGCTCCAAATGAGACAGCAGCTCTGGCTGACAGCTTAATTTCTGCCTGGTGAGACCCTGAGTAGAAGAAGGTATTAATCTACGATACCTGGACTCATGACTCACAGAAATGATGAAATAATAAACTTTTGTTATTTAAAGCTGCTAAGTGTGTAGTGATTTGTTATGTAGCATAGAAAAATTGATTCAATGGATGAATCAAATCTATGTGACCTTATTATGTAAGTTACTTAATCTCTTTGTCCCTCAGCTCCTTCATTTAAAAAATGAAATAGTGATGTCCTTACAAAGATATTGTGGTTTTACTATCATTATGGAGATAAAATTTATTCTTCCTCAGAACATATATGTATCACTCAAAATGATATAAAAAAGATTACATGAAATTTTTATCATTTTTATTCCTGGCACAACATCACATAGAGATAGATATATGTAATTTTTTTAAATTTCTCACACTTCCATGACAGGTGCAGAGAAGGTACTGAGTACACCTTCTGCGTACATGTCAGTGACAGGAACTACAGAACACTTAAGGAATTCAATGAAGTAGGAGAACATTGTTTTCCCTTTTCTATATGTGTGTACTAAACTGTAGATGATAATGATGATCATATTCACCACAAGAAAATGAAATTTTCTATGTTTTTTGTTAACAGTTGGTGATTACCAGTTAAAGATATTTACTCTCATGTTTATCATTACTACAAAAAACTAACCAAACCCTAAATTATAGGGTCTAGACTCTTGTATTATCTGTAGCTGAATTATTCAGTTACATAAATTGGCATTAATAAAATACGGTTATTGTTAATTGTTCTTTTTTTCCATCCTGAACACAGGAAAGCAGGATGAAATGGAACCAGAGAGAGAGAATGCTTGCTAGGAGTTAGGACAGACCAACACAGATGCATAAAGAGATATAGAATCTACAAAAGATTGAAAATAAGATAGACATATATCATCTGGCTTTTCTTCCTCCTCTTTTTGGGGGTGGAGGAAGAGTGACTAAGAGGCTGATCTCTTCTAGGGAAGACCCACTTCTCTATTGATATGATAGCATTACCTCTGTTCTGCATTCTTTCAGTTATCCATAGCTCCAGACTTAGGACATCCCTAACCTTGAAGAGAACTCTATTGAATAGCACCAATCTGTAGTATTGCATGCTTATAAATAACATGAAACTTTTAAGGCCAGGAACATTATTCCTACCCAAGAGCCATGACTAACTATAAACTAAATATAGCAAGTCACTCTGAATTACTCCTGCTCATCCTCTGTTTAATGATGCTGACTGCTAATACTGGTGAGTTGCTGCATGCTAAGTGCTGTATAGCATTGTTTATGACTATTGCCTCAAAGCTGAAGATTTGGTCCCATATTGCAAACTGCCCAAAGTGTTGTCACCTAGTCATATAGGTGAAGATTGAAGTTGAGACAATTTGCTCTCACTCACAAGTGCCTCAAATGGAACTCCTGGAGTACATAATAATAACTTATTGTTTCACTGTTCCAGTTTTTCCCTTGTCTATTCTTTGCTCCAACTCAAATAAGGCATGGAAGATTCAGTTTCAAATATCTTTATCCCTTTGATTTTCTTCTGTCTTCTATTCTGAATTATACCACCAGCTAATCCATTACACAGTTTTGACTGCATGTCAATGTAAATCATACTTTTATTTCTAACATCTGATTAGTTACATACTATTATCAATATATTATATACCAGGTAAATTTAATGCTCTCTTTGAAGATTTGATCTTATACCCCCCATTACAGTTTGACCTTCAAGCTCAAAAATCTCAGTTCTTCTGTGAGTTATATTAGAGTAACCACATAATTTATTTTCCAAAACCAACACTTTTGAAACGATAAGAAGGCACTACCAATAATACACCTGAATAACAGTTGTAAACTAAGACTCTCCGAGGAAAACTAGGATGTATGGTCACTCTCGTAATAACTCTTTGGGCCTTGTTAAGGCAGGAGGTCTAATAATTGCTTACATATATCCACAAGATAAAGCCGCTTAATTATCTTTTTCCATTGGTATCTAATTAATGCCCTTAATATACCACTTTTTGGGCCTCCAGTGACCCCTTAGGCCTATCTCATAGATTTTCCAATAGTAGAAATGATAACTGTTACAAAACAGTTAGTATTACCTTCTTGGGAAAATTTTAGATTTTTCTGTAAATTATTATTTTCCCTGTTAATGATTAGAAACCTATAATTGATTCTAGATAGACCAATTGGAGTGTTTACTCTTTCAAATTTTTCACTAGAAGAATATTATTCTGACAGAAATGGTGTCATCAATTTGTTTAATGTATTGATAATTATTAATGTATTAATAGTTGCTGCCTTGGCATCCATTTCTAGGCCTGATGTAAGTTTGAAACCTAGTAACACACCATCACCCTTAGCCTAGCTGAAACTCCTCCCTGTATGGTTGTTTGCAATATAGCCTGTTTGTTCCTCATCTCATTAACTCAAAACAACCCAAGACAGCCCACAGCTGCTGACTACAACAAAACCTAAAGGTCAACACCAGAGTCATGCAAATTAGTTCTCATCTTTGTGAGTGTTTTCATTACACCAGCCAATTCACAACTCCCTCTGGAAAGTCTAAGGCATAATGGCCTGCCATGGACCTTAACAAAGGCTTAGTCCCACAGGTTCTCTCTCTCTCTCTCTCTCTCTCTCTCTCTCTCTCTCTCTCTCTACCCCCTCCCTTCACTCACTGATTGAGCTCCCTGCCACCTCTAGACTTCCTATTGGCCTTCCTGGCCTCCCTTCAGCACCGCCAACCTTTCTAGGACTTGTTAATAATACATTTCTTCTGCTTCATACATTTTAGTTTTATTTCCTCACGTGTCTCATCTGACATACACACCTAAATCTAACCTTCTGCCCTGTCATAGCTCCCCTAGAAAGTGTCTATCTTGGCTTATAACGACTCTCAAGACAGACATCTCAAGGTCAAGTTAGAAGTAAATCATAAAAGATAGTTGTATTCATCTATTATTCTTGTGGCCAGCTGTCATTACCCAGAAGGAAAGAGCTACTACAGCTAATGATGATAAGTTAATGAGAAAAATCAAGGTATTTTTAAATGTTATGAATAGTTATTAGGTTTGTTGGGGGTAAATCACTGTATGTAAGTGTTATGTTCTTGAATCAAAATTTTAGCTGAGTGGAGGTGTGGAAAATATTGATATAAAGACAAAATGACTGGGAGATTGTACCTGATAGAAATTTAAAAATACTTTAATTGCTATACCACAAATGCAACCAAATAGTTTATTATAGATCTTCATTCTGAAACAGTGAGGTGATGAACTGAATTACTTCGTTTTCCACTTATTATTTTAGTTTTCCATTTTTGTTCATGTTGTAATCCTTTTTAAATGAGCACTAAACTCCTAAAGTAAAGGAAGAGTGCTTTGCAACTGATCTAAAGATGTGCAAACAAAAGACTAGTACCATCTACTGAAATGCATGTTGCTGTTAAATACTCAGGAACAAAGGTAATA
The DNA here is from genome assembly GCF_000001405.40 of Homo sapiens. NCBI lineage: Eukaryota > Metazoa > Chordata > Mammalia > Primates > Hominidae > Homo > Homo sapiens. The sequence continues at coordinate 74,563,088 of NC_000012.12, read as the reverse complement.
GTATATTTCTCATATCATTCCGGAAGTAAAATATCTCAGGGTCATAATTTGAGAAAGAAATAATTCTAAAATTTCAATCTTTGTAAAAGCACTACAATGTGCCTCACACGTCATGTCTTTGACTTCTCACATGTAAAATTGCCTTTAAATTTATTAAACATCTCATTTTGTAAACACAAAATGTTTCAGAAAATGTTTACAATCTTTAGTCCATCAATTTTGTGCGTTTAAGAATTTCTCTGACCAAGTGCTCATGACTGTAATCCCAGCACTTTGGAAGGCCAAGGCAGAAGGATCACTTGAGCTCAGGAGTTTGAGACCAACCTGGGCAATGTCATGAGCCTTTGTCTCTACCCAAAATAAAAAACATTGGCCAGGCATGGTGGTGTGCACCTACAGTCCCAACTATTCAGGAGGCTGAGGTGGGAGGATCACTTGAGCCCAAGAGGCTGAGGTTGCAGTGAGCAGTGATTGTGCCACTGCACTCCAACCAGGGAAACAGAGTGAGACCCTATCTCAAAAATAAAAATAAAAAAATTCTGGCAGAGTATGGTAGCTCGCAGCTATAAACCCAACACTTTGGGAGGCTGAGGCAGGAGGATCACTTGAGGGCAGGATTTTGAGACCAGCCAGGGCAACATAGCAAGACCCTGTTTATACAAAAAATAATATGAAGAATTAAAAAATTAACTGGGTGTGGTGGTGCATGTGTATAGTCCCAGCTATCCAGAAGACTGAAGCAGGAGGATCGCTTGAGCCCAGGAGTTTGAGGCTGCAGTGAGCTATGGTCACACCACAGCACTCTAGCCTGGGTGACAGAGCCTGTCTTTTAGACAGTCATTTGGTCAATTACTATTTGATGTAATGAAATAAGATATTATGATTTTGATAAAATAATATTCTGTTTCACCAAGTTTACATTTTGTAACCTTGACCTCTTAGTCTATTTCATGCTACTTTAACAGGATATTGGATAATTTACAATAAACAGAAATTGATTGGCTCACAGTTCTAGAGGCTACAGACTCCAAAATACAGCGGGTGTCATCTAGTGAGGACTTTCTTGGAGGAAATGCAAACATGCTTCCCATGGAGGAAATGCAAACATAGGGCTATAGAGAATGCAAGAGTGGGCCAAACTCTTCCTTTTATTAGGAACCCACTGCTGTAGTAGTGGCATTCATCAGTTCTTCAGGGCAGAACCCTTACAGTTCTAAACACCTCCCATTAGGCTTTCCCTTCCAACACCACTGCATTGGGGATTGTTTCCAAAGCACAAACTTTGAGGGGGCACATTCAAATTACAGCACTTGTTATGCTCTAAGAAAGAAATCACAGGTAGAAGGGGGAAAATGGGAAGTAATTAAACAGGAAAAACAATTCTTATTATGTATTCAAGCTAAGTAACGTAAATTGATAAAAGGTAAAATTACAATGCTTAGTGTATCTTCTTTATGTTTGAAAGTCTCTATCAAATATTGATGAGATTGGTGAGAAAAACAGCTATTACATTGAATGTGTCAAGCTTTTGCAAATGATAATTAAATAAAGAAATCAATTGTTATATTTTAACCTGACATATTTGGATAATTCTTTATTAAAAGACTGGGACAGTGAGGATCAAGTTACATAACCATAAAGGGTTTCCAAGATTATGAATGATGGTTATAAAATGCCACACAATTGTTTCAAATATTTGATAATTTTAAACTATAGTTTATTACATAAAATTGTCAAGAATAAGCAATATATTCTTAGCTTAGGCAAACCAGGCCATCACTAAAATTCAACAAAAGAAAATATAAAAAACAGAAAACTATTGATCTTTCATATTAAAGGATCCATACCATATGTAGAATATTATTTAAAAATCTAGAAATATGTCCCATCAATTAAAACCTTTCTAATTCTTATCACTCTTCCTAAAATATATAATAAGTACATATTTAAAAAAAACTAGTGAAACTTCCTATGAAAATTCTATTAAGGTAATGTGTTGAATCTCAAACTATTAGTTACATAGATATAGAATGTATGCCATATAAAATATTTCTAAGATTTTAAAATTTATATTATGTCAAAAGACATAGAAGAAATTTAAACTTTTATAGTCTGATATGGTTTGACTCTGCATCCCTACCCAAATCTCATCTTGAATGGTAATCTTCACATGTTGAGAAAGGGACCCAGAGAAAGATGATTGGACTATGGGAGCAGTTTCCCCCATGCTGTTCTTGTGATAGTGAGAAGTTCTCATAAGATCTGATGGTTTTAAAGGTGGCAGTTTCCCCTGCACACTCTGTTTTCCCTGCCACATTATGAAGAAGGTACTTGCTGCTCCACCATGCTTCTAAGTTTTCTGAGCCCCCCTACCCCAGCCATGTGGAACTATGAGTCAATTAAACCTCTTTCCTTTATAAATTACCCAGTCTTGAGTATTTTTTATAGCAGTGTGAAATGGACTAATACAGGAAATTGGTAATGGAATAGTGGGGTGTGCTATAAAGACAACTTCAAAATGTGGAAGCCGCTTTGGAACTGGGGAACAGGCAGAGGCTGGAAGAGTTTGGAGGGTTCAGAAGAAGACAGGAAGATGTGGGAAAGTTTGGGACTTCCTAAAGACTTGTTGAATGGTTTTGACCAAAATGCTAATAGTGATATAGACAATTAAGTTCAGGCTGAGGTGCTCTCAGATTGAGATGAATAACTTATTGGGAAGTGGAGTAAAGGTCACTCATGCTATTCTTTACCAAAGAGACTGGTGATATTTTGCCCCTGCCCTAGAGATCTGTGGAATGCTTAACTTGAGAGATGATTTAGGATATATGGCAGAAGAAATTTTTAACCAGCAAAGCATTTAAGAAGTGACCTGGCTTATTCTGAAAGTGTTCAGTTATATGTATTCACAGAGATGGTTTGAAATTGTAACTTATGTTTAAAAGGGAAAGAGAGCATAAAGATTTGGAAAATTTGCTGCCTGACCACGAGGCAGAAAAGAAAAACCCATTTTCAGGGGAGGAATTCAAGCTGGCTGCAGAAATTTGCAAAAGTAATGAGGAGCAGAATGTTAATAGCCAAGACAATGCGTAAAATGTCTGCAGGGCATGTCAGAGATCTTCCTGGCAGCCCCTTCTATCACAGAGATGGAGGCCTATGAGGGAAAAATGGTTTTGTGGGTGGAGTCCAGGGCCTTGCTGCTCTGTGCAGCCTTGGGACATTGTGCTCTGCATCCCAGCCATTCCAGCTCCAGCCATGGCTAAAATAGGCCAGTGTACAGTTTGGGCCATTGCTTCAGAGGTGCAAGCCCCAAGTCTTGGTGGCTGCCATGTGGTGTTGGGCCTGCAGGTGTGCAGAAGACAAGAGTTGAGGTTTGGGAACCCTCTGCCTAGATTTTAGAGGATGTATGAAAATGCCTGAATATCCAGGCAGAACTCTGCTGCAGGGGTGGAACCCTCATGGAGAACCTCTGCTAGGACAGTGGAGGGGAAATGTAGGGTTGGAGCCTCCACACAGAGTCCCCACTGGGACACTGCCTAGTGGAGCTGTTAGAAAAGGGCTACCATCCTCCAGACCTCATAAAGGTAGATCCACCAACAGCTTGCACTATGCACCTGAAAAAGCCACAGGCACTCCATTGCCAGCCCATGAAAGCAGCTGTAGGGACTGTACCCTGCAGAGTCACAGTATGGAGCTGCCCAAGGCCATGGGAGCCCACCCCTTTTATCTTCAGTGTGCCATGGATGTGAGACATGGAATCAAAGGAGATGATTTTGGATTTTTAATATTTAATGACTGTCTGGCTGGGTTAAGGACTTGCATGGAGCCTCTGGCCCATTTGTTTTGGCCAATTTCTCCCATGTGGAATGGAAACATTTACCCAATGCCTGTACCTTCATTGTACCTTGGAAGTAACTAATTCATTTTTGATTTTACAGACTTATAGGTGGAAGGGACTTGCCTTGTCTCAGATAAGGCTTTGGACTTGGACTTTTAAGTTAATGCTTAAGCATTAGTTAAGTTAACTTACTAGGAATGAGTTAAGACATTGGGGGACTGTTGGGAAGGCATGATTGGTTTTGAAATGTGAAAAAGACATGAGAATTGGGATGGACTGGGGTGGAATTTTACGGTTTGGCTCTGTGTTTCCACTCAAAAAATCTCATCTCTAATTGTAACACCCATGTGTCAAGGGAGGAACCTGATGGGAGGTGATCAGATCATGGTAACAATCTCCCCCATGCTGTTCTTGTGATAGTGAGAGAGCTCTCACAAGATCTGATGGTTTTAAAAGTGGAAGTTTCGGCCCGGCGCGGTGGCTCACTCACGCCTGTAATCCCAGCATTTTGAGAGGCAGAGGCGGGCGGATCATGAGGTCAGGAGATCGGGAGCATCCCGGCTAACATGGTGAAATCTCTACTAAAAACACAAAAAAATTAGCCGTGCGTGGTGGCGGGCGCCTGTAGTCCCAGCTACTCGGGAGGCTAAGGCAGGAGAATGGTGTGAATCTGGGAGGCGGAGCTTGCAGTGAGCCAAGATCGCACCACTGCACTCCAGCCTGGGCAACAGAGCGAGACTCCGTCTCAAAAAAAAAAAAAAAAAAGATGGAAGTTTCCCCTTCACAATCTCCCTCTCTCCTGTGGCCTTGTGAAGAAGGTACTTGCTTCTCTTTCATGTTTTGCTATGATTGTAAGTTTCCTGAAGCCTCCCCAGCCATGAAGAACTGTAAGTTAATTAAACCTCTGCCCTTTATAAATTACCCAGTCTCAGGTATTTTTTATAGTAGTGTAAAAATGAACTAATACATAGTCATGGAAATATCAAGAATATATCAGAAATTTTATGTTGAATTTAAATTGACATATAACTACTTATTTTCCCAAGAAAAATAAAACTGTCTTTATCATGTAAGTAATTCAGCTAATATATATTCTTTTTCACCCTTATTCCTCTAGTTTTTCTTCAACATTAATGCAGAGGAAGAAAGTGCTTTTCATATATTTAAATACAAATGGTAAAAACAAAATGATGTGTGTATATATAAACATATGCATAAATATATCCATAGAATGTTAAATAATTACATATAGAACTAACTATAAAATAATAAAATACTATTTCAGTACCTCATGCCATCATAAACATTTTCATGTTTTCTTAACAATAAAATATCTCTTTTAATGAAGGCTGTGAAAATATATTTTATTTTACACAAAACCTATCACCACTTCTGAAAGTATATTTAAGAAGTGGTGAAAAATATTCATGTTCAAGTTGATCATAAATAAAGTGATTTACCGGCCAGGCACGGTGGCTCACGCCTGTAATCCCAGCACTTTGGGAGGCGGAGGCGGGCAGATCACGAGGTCAGGAGATCCAGACCATCCTGGCTAACACAGTGAAACCCCGTCTCTACTAAAAATACGAAAAAATTAGCCTGGCGTAGTGGCGGGCGTCTGTAGTCCCAGCTACTCGGGAGGCTGAGGCAGGAGAATGGCGTGAACCCGGGAGGCAGAGCTTGCAGTAAGATCGCGCCACTGCACTCCAGCCTGGGCAACAGAACAACACGCTGTCTCAAAAAAATAAATAAATAAAATAAAATAAATAAAGTTATTTACCAATTGCAAAATCATGAAAATATGCTTTTTAGTCATTTTTTTTTTACTTTATTCAAAATAATCTCAACGTATTGAAAAATAAAATAGTGCCATCTTATGCTAACACAAAGAATATATGGACATTGTCTATTGAGTGGAAGGGATGGGCTACAGTGAAGAAGGTGACAAGTGCCCTGGTCTAATGAAGCTTTATTAATATATTTATATTTGATAGAGTACTTTTTGTTCCATAACTAATCCAAACTCAAACAATTAGCTGTGTTATGGAAATTGCTGTGCCACTTAACAAACAGGATAAACATATAAATGTTCCAAAAGATTACCATGCTTTATATTATATTAGCTACATATTACATTGAATTATGAAAAATTAGGTAGTGAGGAATCCATTAACCCACTTTAACCACTCGATAGAAAATAGAACAATTAATTATATGATATCCACATTATTTATTCTTAAGTGAAATGTTTTTAGAATCTAGCATACCAGAGAAGTTTAATAATTTCTTTTTTCTCGGTGTTTTCATAGTATTTATCAAAATGTGTTTTAACATATTTATTTGAAATGTAACATAAGATCAGACTTTATGACAGTGGGTAAATGTAATTTAGTTGGCTGGTTTAATGGGGTGGCCTTCCCATATAGATGATAGGATAGATTTTATTCAAAAGTTTGACAAGTTTATTCTGCACATCCACTATTATACCTAACCATCTTAATAAACTATAGCTGTTTATATAATGGCCTTGGCCTCAGTGTGCCTGATGGGCCCTATTGTCCAAAAATGGAGGCAATACATTCATATTTCCAATGAATCGTAAAACAAAACTTCCATCTGGCCATTTGCCTGAATAAGAGTAAAATTGCACTAGAAATGTAGAAGAATAGGAATATGATCAGAATTTGATGTGGAAGGATAAAAGAATATCATCAGAATTTAAAATTGTGTGATATCGAATATTGAAGAGTTTTGAGTCATGATGAAAATCACTATATGGCTGATTAGTGAGTAACTGACATGGAGTCTGGACATATGAACACTAGAGTTGAGAAAGTGGAAGAACTCAGGTTTAGTCATTAAAAGGTGTAACTTTATATTTCAAGTCACCAAGAATGAGGCCATACAGAGGGTGCTTACCTATACATGCCAGGTAAATGAGACATTAGGGAGGGTGGGAGAATGTCCTGGAAGTCAACAGACATTATTTTAAAAATGAAGAGAGGAACATTTGATAATAAAGTTTTGGAGAAAATAATGAATGCTGAAGTTGGAAAAACTTAAAGAGATGGTATAGAATCAGATTGTAAAGAATTTTTTATGTGAGTTTAAAGTATCTTGACTTTATATTTTAGAAAATAGTAGGAGTAGGTTTCTGATTTGAGAAATGGGTGATGAAATGATTAAGATTAATTAGAAGTAGATATTGGTAATCTAGGTATGGTTGGCATAGGCTGATACTGGGAGAGAAAAAGAACTAAATGTGTATGCAATTCACTGAGGAAAGTATTAAGATTTAGTAACTGGTGACACAGAATATAGAACATAAAAGATAAACTTAAGCTAGCTGAAGAATTGAGACTAATTCTCAAAAAATAGTTATTGTGTAGGATACATATTTGGGTGTTGCCTTTGGAAAAAATATTAAAAATGACATCACACACTTGTAATAATTAAATATTTTCCTTCCTTCCATAGTTTTCACTATGTATTAACCAAAAAATGTTAATTTTCAATTTTTCTGTAAGTCCAGATATTCCCTGACTTATGATGGTTTGACTTAAGATTTTTCATCTTTCCAATGATGTGAAACCAATTTGCATTCAGCAGAAATGGTACTTCGGGTACCCACACAACCATTCTGTCTTTTACTTCCAGTAGAGAATTCAATAAATTACATGAGACATTTAATACTTTATTATAAAACTGGGTTTTTGTTGGATGATTTTGCCCAACTCTAGGCTAGTGTAAGTGTTCTGAACACTGTTATGGTAGGCTTAGCTAAGCTATGATGTTCAGTAGTTTAGGTGTTTTGAAAAAATTTTCTTCTTAGTATATTTTCAACTTATGATGGGTTTATTGGGACATCGCCCCATTGTAAGTCAAGGAGCATTTGTATACTTAACAATGTGACTGCAATGGTGTTTCTGTCATAAGGAATCAACAGATGGATCTTGAGGTTTCAGACTCATTATTGGAAGTGGGACTTAAGTGATAATTCATCAAAAAAAGCTCTGCATTATAGCATAACAAACTTATTATGTACTGCAAAGTATAAATATGTAAAGGCACATCATTCAAAATTATGCAGCAACATTTGACAAATATAAGCTACATGTGTTTAAAATTTTTATAATCAGAGAATAAACAGGCAGCCGAATAATAAAAGACCATAGTAGCCAGAAAAGATAGTCTAATTACAGGAAAATCAATAGAATTCAAGTGAAATATTTAACCGATTATTAGGTTTCTAAAACAACCTAGACAAACTCTTTTAAACATACATCTTATGTTAGCAGCCTGGATACCATCAAAGTAAACTAAACATTGAGTACTTACTATTTGTGAGGCACCAGGTAACTTTCAGAGTAAGACATGGTCTCTGCCCTCAAGAATTTATAATCTAGCATATGATATATATGTAAATTGACATATTAAAATAATATTATAACACAATTTTACAAGGTGTTATATGGTGATAGGCAAGGAATATTATAGAAGCCATGAGTAGGACCAGCTAATCCAGGCTGCCTTCTAGTTATGTTTTCTGGTACAGGTAATACATGATTGTGCCTTTTTCTTGTTCTTTTATTGAGGTGAAATTCACATAGCATACACTTAATTATTTCAAAGTACCCAATTCACTGGCATTTGCTATATTCACATTGTTGTACAACCACCAGCTCTCTCTAGTTTTAAAACTGCTTCATCACCCCACAAAACATTCTGTACCTGTTAAGTAATCACTTTCCATTTTCCCCACTTCTGATTCCTTAGGGACCTCAACCGTTTTCTGTCTCTGTAGAGTCACCTATTCTGGATATATCACTTAAAAAGGATCACATAATATGAAGCCTTTTCTATCTGGTTTCTTTGATGTAGAATAATGTTTTCATGGTTCATTTAAATTATAGCACTGTCAGGACTTTATTGTTTTTCATGGCTAATTAATATTTCATTGTGTGTATATATATATCACAATGTATTTATCCATTCATCCATCCTGATGGACATTTGGATTGTTTTCACATTTTGGCTATTATGAATAATGCTGCTATGAATATTTGTGTACAAGTTTCTTTGTGGACATACACTTTTATTTCTCTTAGGTATATACACCTAAGAGTGAAATTGCCGAGTCATATGGTAATTCCATGTTTAACTATTTAAGGAACCACGAAGCATTTTACACAGTGTCTGTGTCATATTACATTCCCATTAACAATGCGCCACGCAACCTACTTATCCACATGCTCATCAATATTTATTTTCCAGTTTGTTTGTTTGTGTGTTATTAAAGCTATCCTAGTGAGTATGAAGTGGTATCTCATTGTGGTTTGGATTTGCATTTTTTTAACGACCAATGAAGCTGAACATTTTTTTCCTTTGCCTTTCGATCTTTTGTATATCTTCTTTAGGGAAATGACTATTCAAGTCCTTTTTCCATGTTTTAACTTGGTTCTTCATCTTTTTGTCTTTGAGTTGTAAGAGTTCTTTAATATATTCTGGATAGTAAACCTTATCAGACATAAGATTTGCAAATATTTTCTCCCATTCTCTGTGTTGTCTTTTTACATTTTTTAAATGTCTTTTGATACGTTTTAAATTTGGTTTAAGTAAAATTTATCTATTTTCTGTTTTGTTGCTTATACTTTTGGTGCCAAACCTAAGAATCTATTGCTAATCTGAGGTTGGGATGATTTACCTGTGTGCACTTTTTTTTTTTTTTTTTTTTTTTTTGAGACGGAGCCTCGGTGTGTCGCCCAGGCTGGAGTGCAGTGGCTTGATCTCCACTCACTGAAAGCTCCGTCTCCCGGGTTGACGCCATTCTCCTGCCACAGCCTCCCGAGTAGCTGGGACTACAGGCGCCTGCCACCACGCCCGTCTAATTTTTTGTATTTTTAGTAGAGATGGGGTTTCACCGTGTTAGCCAGGATGGTTTCGATCTCCTGACCTCGTGATCCACCTGCCTTGGCCTCCCAAAGTACTGGGATTACAGGCGTGAGCCACCGCGCCTGGCCCCACCTGTATGCATTCTTTTAAGAGTTATATCGTTTCAGCTCTTACATGTAGGTTGTTGATCCATTTTGAGGCAATGTTTACATATGGAGTGATCTAGAGGTCCAACTTTATTCTTTGTATGTGGTTATCCAGTTGTAGCAGCACCATTTGTGGAAGAAACTATTCTTTCCCCATAAAGTGAGATACAGATTCAATATAATTCCTGTAAATTCCAATGGCCTTTTTTGCTGAAATGGATAAACATCTCTTCAAATTAGGGACTCCAAATAGCCAAAACATTATTGAAATAGAAAATCAATGTAGAAAGACTTTCACTTCCTGATTTCAAATCTTACTGTAAAGCTACAGTAATCAAAACATTGTTATACTGACATAAGGATAGACATATAGGCTCAGGGAATAGAAATAGAAGTCCAGAAATAAACCCAAACACATATAATTTTAACAAAGTTTCCAAAATCATTCTATGTTTACTGAAACTTAAAAAATATTTAAGAGTTAGCTAAGCTAAGGGACAGAACGTAAGTCAGGGCAAAATGAGCAAAGTCATGAAATTTAGAGAACTAAAAACAAACAAACAAAAAGCCACATACATTTATTTTGCCTGAAGTGTACAGTATACAGCTTATGATAGAAGAGCTGTCGTTGAATGGAAAAAGAATGAAGTAAATATTTAGGAGATAGAACCAGAAGGAAACAACTTTTATATGGTGGTTCAGAACCACGCTTAGTCTGGAAAAGTGGGTCCTTCTTATAGGCCCACATCTGAGGGCATTCCTGGTGCATCAGGGTGCTTTCTTCAAAATGTTCTAAGCCCCCTCCAGTACCTAGGAGTGGCCAAGGGTGGCAGTACTATCCTGGACCAGATCCTTGCAGTATGATCTTTGACCCTTGCATTAGTCAGGGTTTTCTAGATAAAAAGAACTAATAGGATACATATAGATATGTAAGAGATTTATTATGGAAATGTGCTCATATGATTATAGAGGCAAAGAAGTTCCACAATATGCTCTCTGCAAGCTAGAAAGCCAGGAAAGCTGATGATATAATTCAGTCCAAGTCTGAAGGTCTGAAAATCAAGGGAGTTGATGGTATAACTTCTGGCTGGAAACTGAAGGATAAAGCCTGAGAATCAGGAAGCCATTGGTGTAAGTTTCAGAGTCCAAAGGCCCAAGAAGCAGCAACATTGAATCTGAAGGCAGGTTGTCTGAGGGCAGGAATCCTAGCTCAAGAAGACAAAATTCACCTTTCTACCACCTTTCTGTTCTATTTGGACACTCAAAAGATTGCATGATGCCTGTCAACATTGGTAAGGGTGGATCTTCTTTACTTAGTCTACTAATTCAAATGCTAATCTCTTAAGGAAGGACGCACCCTCATAGACCCACCCAGAAATAATGTTGTACTAGCTATCTGAACATCCTTTCGCCTAGTGAAGCTTACACATAAAATTAACCATCAGAACCCTCTACATTGGGTATGTCTTAAGGAGCTTAGTAATTGTAGTCTGGCCCCAGTTCCTCCTATCCAGAGTAGGATATATATAATTAAATATAATTAGATATAATTAAATTATATTTATTTGTTTTATTTGGATTATACAAGATTATGCAGCCAGAAAGTTACTGTCATACTGATTCCGTGTGACAGTCACTCATGGGCATGGCAAGTTCAGGGCTCTAGCCTACCATTGGTCCAATGCCAACACTTGGACTTGAACCAAGTATGTGAGAGTTATATATTGGCTCTTGTCCATCTTGGTGTCTGTTCCAATTATAGGGCTGTCTCTTTTGTTTACCACCAGAACATGGCAGGGGTAGCAGCAGTAGTTTTTACCTTGCGGCATCCACTGTTGCTCCTCTTGCTAGCAACCCCGCTGCTTACTCCAAACTCCTTCTATGTACAGCATGTCAGGCAGTTCTCCAGGGACAGTTGCATATATCTTCTCCAGGGGCTTTTAAGACTATAACTCCATAATCCTAATGGCCCTTCTGATAGTTGTTCTCTTTTGCCTCCAATTTATGTGGTGGCCTTATGTTCTCTTGGCATGATCTTCAGCCTTACAGTACATGGGATGGATCCTCCTTGTATGAACAAGACTGCTGCTCTCTCTCTACTGACGGCCCCTTACCTATCCACCCTACTCGTGGGTTGGAGTGGTAGGTATGATTTAGTGAATATTGAAAAATATCACACTCTAGGAATTTAGTGACTATGGCCTGAAGAATTTGAGACTCTTCCAATGCTACTGGAAGATGTGTTGTTCTACATTTACACTATACAAATTTCCTTTTGGTAAATTTAATATATCCATAAATCTAATTATTGCGCAAATTTCACTGTATATCGTGGGTAAAACTTACACTGGTGATCATAACCAACAAAACATATTAATAAACTGTGAGATAGCCATTGGAATAGAATGTTCATAGTTGTATGGCAGATGATTCCACATCATGAATAATGTAATAAGCATTAAATCAAGGGTATTAGGAAATTGCAGAGGCAAGACATTTATATTATTTCAATATAAACAAGATTCCAAAGAGCAATGTCATTGCTGGACCAAATAGGTCCAGGAATATGAAATATTTCCTCAATAATATGAAATCCTCATGCACTGATTGGGCAATAAACAAAGATGAAGTAGCTTTTCTCTATCTATTGTTATCAATAAATCACTATTTATCATATGTTCTATTAATTTTGTAATACATTTTTAAGTCAAACAGTTTACATGTATAGGAACTCATCCAGAAGAGAAAACCAATTGTCCTAGGTCTCTAACCTCCTAGGAATGTCCTACAGGAGACTGATAGGATTAACAGTTACATTTTGCTTTCTCTCTATGACAGCGGTTCTCAACATTTGGAATGAATAAAATTCACTGGGGCACAGGCTCACCAGGCTTCAGTTTTGCATAATATGAGATGTGAGTTTTCTGTGATACCTATAATTGGAGATATCTAGGTTGTCCTTGGATACATAAATGTGAAACAAAGATAACATCATGGTTTAGAAAGATATATTTCTAATCAAAGAGGTCATAAGAGGTCTGAAGCAAAGTCCTAGAACAATATATAAAACAGAATTACAGACTGATGTAATGGAACCTATAGTCTATGTATAATAAAGTCCGTGTATTTAGATGGTAAGCTAATCCTGGGAATATGATGGTTTTGGCGGTGATTGTCCAACTTTTTAGCTCATAGACTCATAGAGTGTTGAATGGAATTAAGACATTGTTTTATTCAAGCTTATTTGTTATCAATAAGAAATCTTGGCCCAAAGAGATGAAGTTATCTGATTGAGGTCACACAGTTTCTTGTAAAATCAAGACTAAGCTTGTTATTTCCAATCTATTACACAAAATCTAAATCAATTTTTGAATCATTGTTGAATTCAATATCAAGCAGAAATAACACAAGCAGTTTAAATTCAAAAAGCAAGTTTAGCTATAAGAGAAGTACTTAAGTAAGAGGGCAACACTAATCCACCTTCAAACTGCAAAAGTGGCTAGAGTGCAAGTAAATCCTTGAACTGTAATAATCATACAGCAGCAAGAGCAAAAGCAGATTAGCTAACCTTACTCTGAACTGAGAGGACCTCAGGACTTGATTTAAAGTTATATCTCATTCGTGTATGTCTGTGTTGTTCATGCATGTGTGTGTATGTGTTTGTGTCTGAAAATGGAGAGAACTGGGAGACTGAGGAGAATGCAGCGGAAGAGCAAATTTAGGAAATAAAAGCACATTAAAAGTGGGAAGGTCACTGTGTCTTTAAGACAGCACTTCATCTTGAAAATTAAGATTAACCTGGCGGGTATAAGGTGTTATTGTATTAATGAGAGGTTGCCTTTTTAGAGCCCTGTGGAATAACATTCCTAATTACGACCTATCTATTTACCTGACAAGATACTAGTAAGGAGTTCATGCCAATTATAAATATCACCATCTATTGACAATTCCATTAAACAGCATCCTGAAACACCTCCTGATAGGGATGGAGAAGATATATGAATTTATGTTAAAAACTGAGAGTTTTTAAATCTCCAAGAGGCATAATCATTTCTCCAGAGCTTTAAATTTTCAATTTAAGTGGTTATCTCTAACATACTAGCTTTAATCCTTTTCCTCACCTCCATCCCTCCCTTACAACCCACCGCTAATTCACTCTCCATGTACTCTGACAAATTTTGCCTAGGCAAGTCATCCTTCAGTTCTCAGTTTAAATACCATCTTCTCAAGAAAGCCTTATTCTTCATCACTCATTACCCAAACTAGATTAAACTTACATGCAGTAGGTCACATAACACTGTGAGGTATATTGCTATCTCCATTATTATGAAGTTGAAGTTCATAAAAAATAACTTACCTTCCCAAATTCACTCTAGTAATAAATGAAAGGATGAAGATTAGAATGCATATATTTGAGTATGATGCCTACAAACTTTTTCCTTCTTCTTATACTTTGTATTTTTTCTCATTCACGTAATTCACTTAGATTTTTCATTAATGCAGATACTTACTACCTTTCTCCTCTTCTTGATTCTTGGTTAACTATGCCCTATTTAGTCTATATTCTTCTTTCCTTTTGCTACCAACTGCTTTCCTTATTTTTCTTCTTCTGTCAGTGCTATCTGGGAGACTTATATGTTTTGTGTTTTAAGCTAAACCTCCCAAGTTATCCCTGGAAAGTACTGTTTACTTGACTGCTATTTTTTTTTACTTGGAATTAATTCAACAGAAGAGATACAGTATTAATATCTCTTGAAATATTTAAGAAAATAAATAATAGTGACATAGTCAGCCCTAGTTTTGCACGGTGTGAGGGACTATAAAAATGATCATGCAAACCAAAATTGTGCAAAGCAATGTTAATAATAAATAGGAATAATTAAGATCATTTGGTGACAATATTGCAACAAAAATAATATTGTTGCAATATTGGAAACTTTCTTATTAATAAACATGATAAACGTGATGAATGTACAGGGAAATAAAAGAATAGTAAAAGCAGTATTTACATACACTGTGATTTTAAACATTAGAAACATTGAGAATAAATGTATTTTATTTGTACAAAATTTATCAAGAATAGTTTGAACTGACCGAGCGCAATGGCTCATGCCTGTAATCTCAGCACTTTGGGAGGCCCAGGCGGGTGGATCACTTGAGGCCAGGCAGGGGTTCGGGATCAGCCTGGCCAACATTGTGGAACCCTCTCTCTACTAAAAATACAAAAATTAGCCGGGCATGATGACATGTGCCTGTAATCCCAGCTGGTGAGGCTGAGGCAGAAGAATCACTTGAACCCGGGAGATGGAGGTTGCAGTAAGCCGGGATCATGCCACTTCACTCCAGCCTGGGTGACAGAGCTAAACTCTGTCACACACACACAAAAAAAAAAAAAAAAAAAAAAAAGAAGAAGAATAGTTTGAACGTTGCTATCCTTCTTCTCATATTCTCATATGTAAATCAAGATATAGAGCAAGCACCTTTTCTGTGCCTTGGTGAACTGACATACTCCTAAATCTGGATCAGCTTATGACTGTATTAGGTTTTTATTGTTGTATAATGACATCACAAACTTAGCTTCTTAAAACCTTCCTTTATTTTCTCACAGTTCTCTAGTTCTAAAGTCACAGTCTGCTAGGCTGAGCTTTGTGCTAAGGGTCTTACAAGGCTGACAACGAAGTGTTAGCTAGTTTGGGCTCTTATCTGGATGCTCTGGCAAAGAATCTGCTTCCAAGCTCATTCAGGGTTTTGTTTGTTCGTTTTTTGCAGAATGCAATCCACAACCTATTATTGCCTTAGGTCTGATATCCCCATTTCTTTGCTATCTGTAAACTGGAGGCCACTCTTAGCTCCTAGATGCAGCCACATTCCTCTCATGTGGCCCAGTCCATCTTCAAAGCAAGCCATGGTGCACTGAATCTTTCCCACACTTAAAATCTGTCTTCTTCCACTACTAGATGAAGAAAACTCTGATTTTGAAGTGCTTATGTGATTGGGTCAAGACCACCTACATAATCACCACATGTTAAGGTCAACTGACTTGGGACTTTAATTACATCTGCAAAATCCTTTCACAGCAGATTACTATTTGGTTGAATAACCAGGGGACAGGAATCTAGAATTCTCCTTAGCATACTTGAGACTGAGTCTCACTCTGTCGCCCAGGCTGGAGTGCAGTGGTACGATCCCAGCTCACTGCAACCTCCATCTCCCAGGTTCAAGTGATTCTCCTGCCTCAGCCTCCCAAGTAGCTGGGATTACAGGCACTCACCACCAAGCCTGGCTAATTTTTGTATTTTTACATCGTATTTTGTATTTGGTATGTTGGCCAGGCTGGTCTTAAATTCCTGACTTCAAGTGATCTGTCCACCTCGACCTCCCAAAGTGCTGAGATTACAGGCGTGAGCCACCGCGCCCGGCCACAACTTACCTTTTGCACTTTCAGTATCTTGAAATATCTGACATAACACCTAATGTCGTTTATTGACAGCTTTGTTTCTTCTGAAACATCTTCATTCTTTTTCATTACGGCCAATGTTCTCATTGACTGAGTTCTTCTGGCTGTATATCTTGGGCCTCTAGAATGTTGTGTCACCATTCTGAAGATCAGCCATCTTCTAATTACATTCAATTGCAATTCAAGTGTTATCACTTTTTTTCTTTGCTGCACTTTCACTTTTTGATTATCTATTTTATTTAAAAAATAGCATGTAAGTTTATCACTGGGAGACGAGGCAACACAACTACTCTGCTGTGCATGAACTGCTTCATTCTGATTCATTCCTTCTCTTTTTCCAGCTTGATTAAACTGAGATTTTACCTATACAATGACGTTAAATTTTTTTGGAATACATTCTTTGCACTTTTATTTCTATTACTTTAATTTTTAAAACTGCATTATTTTCTCCTGTTCTTTGCTCGTTTAAAATTCCATCTACTAATGTACAGATTTCATTTAAGGCCATATTCTGTATCTAATAATTCTGAGAAAGTTCTAATTATATATAGTCAGCAGAAATAATAAACTATAGAGTTAGAATTCCTTTCTTGTAAACAGATTTATTAGATAAAAAGTATGATGGCTATAAATGAAATCTTTAAAGAAACAGATGCTTCTTTTATTGCAAACTTATATTTTGTGAAAATGTTGAAGGAACAAAATTTTGTCAGGTAGCCAAGAGGTACAATATCATTTTCAATACATTATGAAATTCTCAGGTCAAAGTTTCTCTGACTGGCAGGGTAGGGTAGCTATGTGAAACCAAGTGTATGGGTACACATTCCCAAAGTAAATGTTGATGATAATGGCATGACTGTTATTATTTTAGTCAATTCATTTCACCTCAGGCAATAGCAGAGTCTTTCTTTTTCATCTGTTCTCTCTAAAGTAATGAAGGTTTCTCTTATCTGTCCACCCATTAATCAATCATTTATCAATCTATCTAGTTTTACTCTGCCCATCCTTTCACCAAGGATATAAACTTTATTTCAGGCATCTTGCATTTACAGTTTCAATTTGTGATGATCAGGGTCTAATCTCCCAGTATCATATGGTATCTATATTTTCCTCAGTGCACTCTCCTTTTCTGTTTTCATTTGTATCTTTGGGGTGTGTGTGCGTTAGAAGAAAGACCTGGGTATTCTGGGTATTTCCTTCACTTCCTTGGGAACACAGTAATGCATTTAAGAGTATCTTTACCTCAATTTACTTAGCATACTGATGTCCTATATCAATTAGTCTGCTATCTACAGGAACATAACCATGAAAGTGGAAGTCTCATCCAATATTTTTGGTATAGTTTTTATTTCATATTCACAATTATTTAAACAACATACAGCATTGATTTGCCTATTGTTAAACATCAAAAGAAAGGCAACAAAGTATAAGAACATAGGTTTACTATTTTATTTGTACAGCTCTGGTTAATTTATTCTCACTTCAGTATAGTGACTATATGTATTCCAAATGGGTATATTACTTTCAATTTTTCCCTATTACATATAATGCTGCAACAGGTGGAAATATTGGGATATTGGTTACTTTTGTCTTCAACCACAACAGGTATTTCTAAATTGCTTTTAAAAACATTTTTTACCAATTTACAGCCTACTAGCAGTTTAAGTGTTTTAATTGCTCCATATGCCTTTCAGAGTTGATGTCATCACCATTTAAAAAAATTTAATCATACTGAGTAGGGTAAATTGGTATTTTGTTTTTAGTTTGCATTTCTTTGAACCTAAGGGAACTTTTACAACTTTTTGGCCATTCATATTTCTTTTTGTAAGAATGAGCTGTTCTTTTACTTTATACATTTGGCAATTGTACAACTATTTTGTTAGTAATCTTTAATCAGTTATAAGAACTAAACAACTAGCACATCAGGTTATTGGTTTGTTTGTTTCTAGTATGATTTAATGAACAGAAAGTTCTATTTTTATTATGGTCGAACACATCAATCTTTTCTCTATGTTTTGTACTTTTAAGAAATTTTCCCCTTATACACAATTATGAACACATCCTCCTATATTTTTCTAGAAAGATTTGACATTTTTTACTTTTACAC
Organism: Homo sapiens; assembly: GCF_000001405.40. Classification (NCBI taxonomy): domain Eukaryota; kingdom Metazoa; phylum Chordata; class Mammalia; order Primates; family Hominidae; genus Homo; species Homo sapiens. The sequence goes on along the minus strand of NC_000012.12, from coordinate 74,544,651 downwards.
ATTAAATCTTTAATCCATATAGGAATTAATTTTGTGTCTGAGCACAGTTTTATTATTTATGGATAATCTGTTCCACAATACTGGTTTATATTCCACTGATTATAATACAAATTTAACCACACATCAAGACATAAACGTGTAATCTGTGTGTTTCGATCTAATTCTAAACTCTATTCTATTCCATTGTTTCTGCACCAAAACTAAAATATACATCTGTCAAAAAGATCTTGTCTATTCTAGCATCTGGTGTTCATATAAATCTTAAAATTAATTTGTCAAGTTCCATGAGCACATCTATTTGGATTGTAATACAGATTGCTTCCGATTCACATAATTTGGAGCAATGATATTGATTGCATTTTCTGTGCGTGAACATCTTCTCTCCATTTACTTGGGATTTTCCCAACATATTAGAAAATATTATTTTCTTTATAAAATCTTACACAGTTCTTGTGATATTATTTCATAGGACTGTTATAACTTGTTGAATTACATTCTAAATTTAATAACACTTTTTAAATGTTGGTATTCTGATTTTAGATATTGATCTTATATCCAGTAACTGTGCTAAATTTTCTCACTACTTTCAATGGTATGTTTGTAGATTCTATAAAATTATCCATGTAGATGTAGATGTCATCTGAGAACAACTGTTTCTAGATTCTATAAAATTGTTCATGTAAATATCATCTTAGAACAGTAAAAATTTTGTTTCTTCCATTCCTGCTTTTAAAGGGAGTGCTTCCAAGTATTCATTAATAAGTATAGTAACTGGTGTAGATTTTTGGTACATACCCTTTTGCAGTGTGTACAAGTTCTTGAGCTTTGGTTTCTATATTGTTAATGTCTTTGTTTTTTAGGCAATAATTCGTATTGAATTTTTTCAAACTATTTTTCAGTATCAGTTCAAATTTTCACATGGATTTTCTCTAATGGTAATGTGATGATTTTGAGATGAAATCTTGCCATCCTGTGATTAAACTGACTTGTTGATGTTTACTTTTGTTATTTTAAAGGAGTTGGTTTGCTAACATCTTCATTTAAAAAAAAAATCTATTTTGGTATTATTTTGCCTGTTTTTGTTGTTGTTGTTTCATTTACTGTATTCTCTATAAAATTCTAATTGTGTGGTGTTTTAAAAGTTATAGATGTATTCATTTACTTAAAAAATTAACAATTCCTTGAGTTACTTTTGAGTTCTATTTTAAAATAGACTTCCCTTTTTTTGTTTTCAAATTCATTGCCCTAACGTTGTTCATAAGCATCATGGATTTTTCATTGTTTTGTTTTTAATTAGTCGTTTGATTTATTACTCCATTGCTTCAACAAAGACCGCTGACCTAGGAGTCACAACAGCAGCATTCTACTTTTGCTTCCACCACTTGTAAATTTTTGCTTTTTGAACTATGGGCAAGTCACTGCTGCTGAAGATTTTTTTTTCATCTCTAAAATCAATTTAGTATTTCCTTTTTAGCTCACATATTTCCAATGAGTCTCAAGAAATATGATTGAAAATGTTTTCAAAAATGGGAAAACAAATACAAACAAAAACACCGCCAAGAGTTTAAGGTTTATCCACAAAACCTTTTTGAATAGGAACATCACTTCTAATGCTGTCCTCCAAAGCAACATTATGGGCATCTTTTGGAACATAAATGAAAATCAGAGAGCTCGTAATCCTTCACAGCAGAGTAAAACTTCTGAAATCTGGTATTATCTCTGGCTGACTTGAAAACTGGCAATTCGTTAACCATAATTAAACAACAACATGAAAATAAATTTAATAATTGTTGTGCTTTTAGCACATAGTTTCTTCATAAATCTCTTTTAAAAAATTGTAAGAAAAACTTCACAACACTTCAGATAGGTCTTAAGAGAAGGCAATGTTACTTATTAATGTGTGCACAAGAAAGTTCTTCCTGAATTTTTAGTTACTTCAGTACACTTCATTTTGTCTTTCACTTTGTCAACATCAAGCAATCATTTATCAGATTCTTGACCTGATGGTACATGCTGTAGTTAAATGCTAAATCTAGGAGGTTAAACATTGGTAGTTAAAAGGTATGCAATGTGTTTTTTTTTTTCTTTAAAGATCATACTAGTCAGAAAACATAAGAAATAACCTTCAAAGTCCCATTGTCAAGTATTTGGTAAAGCAGGGGTCTTGCAATTATCTTTTTAGAAAACTAATTAGCTTAGCACTAAATATATTAAACTCCAAACCTACAAAACAGGAACCAAAAGTATTTGCTGCAGATGTATTTGAAAGCTAATTGATAGTAGATCCCTACAGTGAATTTTAATAAAAGTAGTAGAAATCTTACTTAAGGCAAAATACCCAATCTTGGTGAAATTTCATTTGAAGAATTTCTCCTGCTATGGTTACATCATGGGTTTCACACGTCAAATTTTTAAGTTTTCTCAAATCACCACGTTGGCCCTGGCCTATTTAAACTGGACAGTGACAAGTACATCGAGTGCTCCTAGAAGAGAAGACTCAATACCATGTTACACATCTATAAGCTTCCCTGAGGTATCCTATTGAGTCAGATTCTTCTCTGGACTCATTTCTGTAATTTTTATTAATCTCAGTATTATGTCCAATACGAAACTTTAATAAATTAGAACACATAGCAAGAGACTGATTAGGACACAGGATCACTAAGTAGTTTCTAGGGGAAGTGCTCAAACTCTGGGTTAGGAATGGGATGAAAAACCTCAGAATTACTATTAAAAATGAAATGAAAGATCTAAAGTGTTGAGGTAATTTTTTAAGTATTGAGAAAAAAATTAGGCAGAACCATCGTCTGCTGTGAATCACTTTACCTTTTGAGAACAAGGATATTAGCTTAAAATGATGGTAAAATGTACTTACTAAGATATATTGAGTTCAATTCAAATGGAACTATCTGTCACAGTGGGCTTTTAGTGACAGGACTGGATTTATCTTACCACCTTCTTACCTCATATGGAAAAGGGATGATTGTATACGGTTTGGCTCTTTCACTGGATGCTACAGACAGTTAAATTTGCAGGCCAAATTGAGAAACAAGGTTGGACAGTTTCTCTGTTCTGATAAAACTCCTGTTAGGGAGGAAGTATTAAGGTTCAATAGCATTTCAACGTTTATCTCATTATGTCAATGCCTGAAAACATACAGCTTTAAAAGATGAATATACAGAGTCCAAGGACCAAGTAGTCATTTTTTAAAATTTTATTACTGTTTACCAATGGGGAGATGCAGTTTATTTACACCAGCAGCCATAGGGGAAAGGGGAATACAGTTAATCAGCTATCTGTATAGGATGGACTACTTATGCAAAAATAAAAATCTCCAAAACAAAGGACAGTGGTGAGCTTCACTACCCTCCCCCGATGATCCCAGCATGCGATAATGCCAGGCAGTGGTCCCTGGGCATGCGATGGTGGGAACTAATGTATGGAAGAAAAAGCCACAAACCACAGAAATTTTAAAGAACCCCCCCCTTCCCCCATAACACACACATACACACACACACACACTCAGATACATAATAGGATTGCAGGGTGATCAATACACATAATCAAGGGAAAAATAGGAATTCTGCTATTAAAAGGAAGGTAGGTAGGGAAAGGGAGAGTTCCTAACCACTGTCAACTATATGGTAGGGAGCATTCTCTCCCCAGAAAGGAGTATGTACCCTCTGGGCACCTGTTGGACCAAGCCCACCTTATACCCATCCAGGGCAGGAGGCTACTGCCCTATTGGTAGAGGGGCCAGAAACAAAAAACAAAAGGGGGGTAATATGAACAAAATACTACTCAAAACTACTTTCCGCTTCCTCCTCTAACCAGGAGAAAAGGCCAGAAAGAAAACAGTAATTTCAGGATTTGAGTTCCCTATCTGAAGGCAGAGGGATTGGACTGTGGCCTTTCTCCTTTACCATCATCCCACTTCCAAGACATTGTTAGGAAGTAGGCCAGAGTCTCACTTAGACTCTCCTTTCTTCATCCTCTTAGATGTCGTCTACAAGTCAAGGGCAAAGATATCTCCAAATTATTTTAGCTCTTGCCAAGGTTTGATTTTTTTTAAGTTAATGCAATTCTTTAAGACTAATCTGTAACTAGGCCCCAAGCCTGATCAGGACAACTCTAGGACAAGGCAGTAACAGTTCCAAGGCCCAAACTCTATGGTTTCCTTAATCCTCTAAAGTATGTAATCTAAATCAGTCTATACAGTCTAAATAGTACCTTCTGGGATAAGGATTGATACATGCACAGCAAGGGTGAGAGAATGGACAAGGACCAACTCCATCCCCCTGTGTGTCAATCAGCCTTTACTGCTCTTCTACTTAGGTCCTAACCGGCAGTATTGAAATGGAGGTGGGAAGATACAACTCCTTATGAAGTAAGACACAGCAAGAGGGCACACTAGCAAAGCAGTCCTATATAGGAGAAATGCTTATAGGCATGACACTGCATTTTAAATACAAAAAATTAAGTTCTCTTCCAATTCCAATCTCAACAGAGGGAGCCATAAGAAAGATTCTCCTCTGAGTCTTCTACAAAAACAAGGGAAAAAGAAAGAAAAAAAAAAAACAGAGGCCAAGAAAAAAGAAATTGGGCAGGCTTCGGAAGCAGGAGCATTAAGAGCTGAATTGAAACTGTTCAATGTGACAGCTGGAGTGGCAAGCAGCACCTGGGGCACCAGATAGGCAGTGGAGCAGGGGACAGGAGGAACACAGGGCCAAGCCAGACAGATGAGGCTGGACCCCCTACTGGGGCACAGAATGAGGTAAGAAAACATTTCAAATAAAGCAGCACCGTTCCCGCTCACCTCGGGGCTCCCACCCCTTTATACTTCATAAACCCTCGCTCAGGGAATAAAGTGGAGGGTAGTTTTGATATGTGACTCTTACTTCCCATCTTCCCCTATACCATTCCCTAAAGTCAGGAGATTCTGGAGGTCTTTCTCTGACTTCTAACAATAAAAGGACTGCTCCTGTTGTCAAGAAGATCCAAAGGGGACCGAGTGGAAAGGACTATCCCTTTCGAGCGGCAGACAGAAAGTGGTGACAGTCTGGATGTTCACCATAGCAGAGCTCTGACTGCCCAACCAAAGAAAACAGGGACATTCAACAGGATTCTGCACACAGTCAGATGAGATAATCCAGTCCTGCTCCTTGGCTCCTAGCACTAATCCATTCACATTATTGAGGGCAGCTGAAAGTGCCCTCTGGGCTCAGTTTTCAAACCACAGCCTCCTGCACAGCCATGATGCTCTTCCATACTTCAGTCCTGCCCCCAGGGTGGGAGGCAGATAGTGACCTGACTTAAGGACCAAGTCACACCCATGGACTGGCTAGGTAACCAGTAACTCAGAGTAGGAAATGACCGCCCTACTAAACTTATATCCACAGCATAATACATCCAGACATGAATCTTGAAGTTTGAGAAATCATGCATAGTTGCAGAGGTCCCTGCTACCTCCCCAGGGGATCATAACCGAATCCTCAACCTGTCTGGACAACCAAGTTGTCCATTTGCCAAGCCTATGCCACCAGGTTGGAGGGCAAGGAAGAGGGCTCTGCTCAGCCAAATGCTAGGCCTTGTCCTCAAGTCAGCTGAATCATTGTAGTCTGGACTTTTGGGAAACACGTGGTTTTGACCTTTTCTTCTTGCTGGAGTCAAGGCTACAGAGCTTCCCTATCAAACTTGATAATTCTTTTTCTTGGATTTCCCAAACTGAAACTGTTAGTATCCAGATCTTGCACCTGACATTTACTTGTCTCAGAGAAGCCCATAACAGAGGTTCAGATATCAAAGGAGCAGTCCCACTGCAGGCCACTGATCACGGCCTGACGAACTGTAACGTCCAAACTGTCCAAGAAGCCCTTGACATCAGGCAGACAGAAAGGCTGAGGAACCAAAAATTTTATATGCTGGGCACACAACTGCTCACCTGTGCACTGGGGGCACTACAGGATCTTGCGCACATCCTGGTGTGTTTAGAGATCAACAGGCACTGCATGGCCCGCAGGCTGTGCAGCTCCTCCTGCCCAGGGCTTCAGAGCTTGCTCCAGGTAATACACTTTAAAAAAAGGATTCCTAAATTATCCACTTTGGGTTTTTAAATGCTAGGATCTTCAAGGGGGAATTAAAACTTTTGTCTGATTTTTCTACTTTTTTCTACTTAGCTTACTCCTCGAAGCCACAGGACCAGTCTATGTTATTGTCCTGGCCACTTTCAGACTCTCATTTTGCAGCTACTGGAATTCCGGAGGTGAGCGCTGCAGCTGCTGATCAGGCCCATTCCCAGGTTCTCCGGGAAGGGAGCAAAGCGGGAGGCGGCACGCTCCTTTGTCTTCCACTGGCTGAATGCCAAAATCCTTCACGCTACCAGTCTCTGCGAACTCCAGGTAGAAGTAGCCACACTTGACTGCCCGGTGCACCTCAAAGCAGAATCCCAAACAAGAATCCTCTATCAGGTCTACGTAAATCTCCTGAGCGATGGCCTCTAGCTTGTTAGTATCCAGGTTGGCCAACGAAATTTCCTCCATTTTAATTTGTAAACGAGTGCGGAGAGGGCGCTCGTTTTACTCACGGCAGCAACACGTCTGGCTCCGCGGGCCGCGCCTAGGCCTAGAGGCCTTTCAGTGCCCAGTCCTCCGGCGGCGGGGTCGGTGGCGTCCGCAACTGCAGGAGCAGCGATAGGGGCGACTGCTCCGGAATCCCAAGTCCTTCTGTTTGTTTTGACGTTTCCCGGGTTGCGGGCCTTTCAGCTGCGCCTGGCCCAGGACTCACCGCCAAACCGTCTCAGCGCCTCACCCAGCCTCCTGGGCCTCTTCCGCTCCCCTGTCGGGCCTAGCCCCGCCTCTCCGCTTCCGCCCCTCAGAGCGCCTGCGCACTGGTTCCGCGCAGACTCTTGGGGCTTCTCAACGCGCTGCTGCTTTGAGAGCGTTTGAGTTTATGAAAAGGAACAGGATGAACTTAGTGTATGACTTCCATTATCTCTGATTATTAAAAAATTGCGAGGATGCTATTTTATGTTACTTTATTTGTAAATTTAAACATTCGCTAATGAATTCAGCAGCCACGCTTAATTGATATCCTCTGAAAAGTGGAAAATTTTAATAATTATATGCACTGTTGTGGTGTGATTCGAAACATCATTTTAGGAACAGTTCTCCGGAGGTGTTTGAAAATTTGACTTACATGATTGACTGGTGAATCGTTTATAGCAATGCTGCAGTTGTCATTTAAATCCACTAGATGGTGCAAGGAAACAAATTACAGTATAGTTTATCTTTCGGTCTTTTTTTGAATGGAAAAACTGGAAACTTGGTACTAAAGTCATAATTCGTATATATTGATCAAATAAACCCATGGCATCTATCTCACTTATGAGATCATTAAGGCAATGTGACTATAAAGAGATGATAACATACACCTCTAAAATAATTCAGAGAGAAAATTAGATGTACATTTTGACTTAAAGAGGAAGGAAATCTGAAATATGTTAAATATATTGGGAGATAAAATTTTTCCTAAAATTATATGCATGATTTGTGAGAACGGGAGCCAGTCTACCTAAGTTTAAATCCTGAAGCCAACATTTAACAGTTTAGTGTTTCCTCATCTGAAAAAAAAGCTAATTCTTATTTCATGGTTAAGATTAAATTATATTTGGCCGGGCGCGGTGGCTCACGCCTGTAATCCCAGCACTTTGGGAGGCCGAGGCGGGCGGATCACGAGGTCAGGAGATCGAGACCATCCCGGCTAAAAAATGGTGAAACCCCGTCTCTACTAAAAATACAAAAAAATTAGCCGGGCGTAGTGGCGGGCGCCTGTAGTCCCAGCTACTTGGGAGGCTGAGGCAGGAGAATGGCGTGAACCCGGGAGGCGGAGCTTGCAGTGAGCCGAGATCCCGCCACTGCACTCCAGCCTGGGCGACAGAGCGAGACTCCGTCTCAAAAAAAAAAAAAAAAAAAAAAAAAAAAAAGATTAAATTATATTTTTAAAAATCTTGCGACAGTGCCTTACATGTAAGCAATGGTTCAGTAAATGTAAGCTATTTTTAATCATATTAGTTATGAACTTGAATATGAGAAAAATCGCTGTAGTATATCCTTTATTTTTTGCTCATTATTTGGTCCCCAGAACTGCTGTGAAATAGAGCAGCCTGTATTATCTTTATAATTTATTTTAAAAGTATTGTTAACCAAAGAAAGAAAAATACAAAATACATATTTATATCTGTCTGATTCTGTACTTTCCCTTCCAGATTAAAGGAGAGACATGTATCTTTTAATCAGATACAAATAATTATTTTCTAATGTATAAGATCATCTGAACATCTAAATATTTTAGAATTTATTCATTCTTTATTTATTTTTATTTTTGACACAAGGTCTCGCTGTATTGCCCAGGTTGGAATGTAGTGGCACCATCATAGTTCACTGCAGCATGGCTCTCCAGGGCACGAACAATCCTCCCACCTCAGCCTCCCAAGCAGCTGGGACTACAGGGGTGCACCACAACCCCAGACTAATTTCTTTTAACTATTTTCTTTTTTTTTTTTTTTTTTTTTTTTTTTTAGCGGAGGAGGTCTTGCTATATTGCCCCAGATGGTCTTGAACTCCTGAACTCAAGTGATCCTGCTGCCTCAGCCTTCCAAATGCTAGGATTACAGGCATGAGCCACCTTGCCAGGCCTAGTATTCATTCTTAATATCTCACTGTATTAGTCCGTTTTCACACTGCTATAAAAAACTACCCGAAATTGGGCAATTTGTGAAGAAAAGAGGTTTAACTGACTCACAGGTCTGCACGCTTAATGGGAGGCATGACTGGGAGGCCTCAGGAAACTTGCAATTATGGCAGAAGGTGAAGGGGAAGCAAGGACCTTCTTCACATGGTGACAAGAGGGAGAGAGAGTGAAAGGGGAAGTGGCACACACTTTTAAACCATCAAATCTCGTGAGAACTCACTCACTATCACAAAAACAGCAAGCGGGAAATCCCCCCCATGATCCAATCACTTCCCACCAGCTCCCCTGACATGTGAGGATTATAATTAGACATGAGATTTGGATGGGGACAAATAACCAAACCATATCACTCACTCTTTGTTTTCATGAATAGAAGATTAAATTTATTTGGTTTATGAGTAGCCAGTACTTGTACCCATCCAAACTTTTCTGATTGCGTATTTTACCATTTAAAAAACCATAAATTGGCTGATAGGGAGCATTTTGAAAGCCTAGACTTTAAGACTTATGTACTGTAAGTTTTCTTTTTTTTTTCTTGAAATATGGGGCAGGATTTTTTTTTTTTTTTTTTTTTTTTTTGAGACAGAGTCTTGGTCTGTCGCCCAGGCTGAAGTGCAGTGGCACGATCTCGGCTCACTGCAAGCTCCGCCTCCCAGGTTCACACCATTCTCCTGCCTCAGCCTCCCCAGTAGCTGGGACTACAGGTGCCCACCACCACGCCTGGCTAATTTTTTGTATTTTTTAGTAGGGACGGGGTTTCACCATGTCCAGGATGGTCTCGATCTCCTGACCTCGTGATCTGCCCACCTCGGCCTCCCAAAGTGCTGGGATTACAGGCGTGAGCCACCGCGCCCCGCCTGAGGCAGGATGTTTTTTATTCATCGTAGTCTTTGTATAATTTATATGTTCTACATTCAAAAATTGGCATCATATTTTGATATAAATTGAAATCTCCACATAGCCACATGCTAGCCCATATTATGATTAAATGTACAAGTTCTTTGGTCAGACTGTCTCCTACCCATTACTGTCTGTGTGATCTTGTCCTGTCAACTTCTGTAAATCTCAGTTTTCCTTTAATAAAATGTCAATAACAGTTCTCATCATATAAGTTTGTGGTGAGATTTAAAACATGACAATAAATTTTATGAATGTCTTCACACCGTGCTTGACAAATACAGTAGTATGTAATATTGTGTTGTATAACTAGTACTGTGGCATACTTAGTTACATGAGAAAATAGATATAAATACAATTGTTTACACAAATTCCTTCTTTCTCATGCTTTCTCCAAATTTAAAGCAGTGCTTCTAAAACCATGTATATGAATCACTCAGAGATCTTTTAAAAACGTAGAGTATGATTTTGTAAATCTAGGGTGGGGCCTCCTTTTCTGTATTTCTAACATACTTTGATATGTGCTAGTGACCACATTATAAGTAGCAAGGAATTAGAAGGGCTTAATAGTGGACATATGTTCCTTATAGTTGGCTCCCATATAATTTATTCTTGGAAATTATCATGAGAGTCTTTGCATGTTTGATTTTCACAGAAGAGAAGAAGATTATCCCTTAAATCCTCTTTGTGTTGTGAGAGCTGGAATACAAGTACTCAATTTATGTTATTAAGAGGGGTCATCACTAAAATTTACTTCAAAATATATACAGAAAATGTTCATATTAATTGATATTCAAATAATCTGGATCATGGCTAGGTTTAGACTTCTTGTCAGTATTTTATTACATTTAATCTTAGAAAAGGAACACTATCATGACATCAAATATTTGCAATAACACTCATTATCACCTTGTCACCTCTTTTCTACTTATATAATTTAACTAGATTATCTTACTTCTGATTGATATACACTGAAACTCTATGTTAAATCAGCCTTAAATCAATAACATACCACAAAAAAAGTTGAGAAAAACTCCTTAGTTCTCTTACAATTAGTAAGATTGAAGGTATTACTTAAGCCTTTAGTATAAAAATAAAATTTATTTATTTATTTATTTATTTATTTATTTATTTTTTTTTTATTTTTATTTTTTTTTTTTTGAGATAGAGTCTCACTCTGTCTCTCAGGCTGGAGTGCGGTGGTGCGATCTCGGCTCACTGCAAGCTCCGCCTGCCGGGTTCACGCCATTTTCCTGCCTCAGACTCCCGAGTAGCTAGGACCACAGGCGCCTGCCACCAAGCTCGGCTAATTTTTTGGATTTTTTTAGTAGATACGGGGTTTCACCGTGTTGGCCAGGATGGTCTCGACCCCCTGACCTCATGATCTGCCCGCCTCGGCCTCCCAAAGTTCTGGAATTACAGGCGTGAGCCACCGCGCCCAGCCTAGAAATTTTTTATTATCTAAATGATTTTCTCAATACAAAGAAAGTAACATAGATTAGTTCTTTATAAATAATCTTCAAAAATATTGCTTAAAATTGTGCACAAATTAAGGCAAGTAAAATGAATGTATTATGACATTTTAATTGTCTTTGATTATTCTCTTCCCATTCAATAATTGTAATATATGCACTGACAGAATAAGCTCTTTCAAAGAGAAACACATTTTAAATTGTTACTTAAAGGTTTTCTTTAAAGATTGAAATTCCATAAAAGATATGTTTATAAAAGCCACACTTTTTTGTGTTCACATGAAATAGAGTGAGGCAGCAGAGTGCTTCAAGGGATAGACCTGAGAGTGGAGTCAAAGCCCTTAATTGCTGGCCTATTTCAGCCACTAACTAACCAGGTGACCATGAGCAAGAGGGTAAATTCACTTTTGCAATAAACTGACTGACTGACTCATGTTTTCTAAATTTTTCTTTGAAAATTAAATAACTATATATTGAGGAATTTGAGGAAATGGGTTCCACCCAGTTAAAAGGCAAGTAAATTCCTCTGTATATTGGTCCATGAAGCTCAAATGTTGAACCCTAAACTGTGTGTCTAAGGATTTCTTTATCAAATTAATCTATTCTGCTCCCTAGAGCATCTTGAATTACCTCCATATTTTAGGGCTAAAAGAATTATTTAGCTACTGAATACCAACTGTGTGTTGAAATTAGCTTCCCTAACATCCAATGGTGTTGCTTGTGAATGATCATTTTTAGTTAAAAAAAAATTATCTAGGGACGTTGACTTTTAGGAAGCCCATTTTTACTTTTACTTATAGAATATTTATAAAACTTTATGTTTCTTTACTTAAGTTTTTTAAGATAAATGAATAGTAAATCAGAGAAGGAGGGAATATTTTGCCATATTATCTTCTCTTTTAAACAGTACTTTTTCATTAGACTATATATCAGAAATAAGCTATGGCATTTTATGCCTTTTTGTCAATAATTTGGTAAAATATATGTATGTGTGTCATAACTCAACTGTAAATACTGGCATATCTTCCCAGGCATAGCTAGCTTGAAGTTTCAAATTCATCCTCTGCTGAAATCCAGTTTTCAAAATTTGCATTTAGGAAATAATTATTAAGGTTTACATGAAATTCAGAGTGCCACAATTTTATATTAAATTGAGGTATCATGCTACTATCACAATGTCTAAAATAAATTTATGATTTGAATCTGCCCTATTAAATTGAAATCAAGGCAATTTATTGAATGTTGGTATTTATGACAACTCTAGATTATAATCTGCTAAAGAGAAAGAAACAGTAATTCCAAGCTACCTGTAGTTAGTAAGTAGAATATTATACTAATGTGGCAATTTTAATAGTTTGCATAATAAAATATTTTTAAAAGTTGATATTTTAATGTATCAGTTATTCAGAGCCACTTTGATCTATAAAAGGGCTTCAAAAGATCTCTAGAAAAATTTCTATGTATTTGTATATATAAGCATAAAGGTGCTCCTTGATTTATGATAGACTCATGTCATTATAAACCTATCATAAGTAAAAAATATTACAAAGCAGAAATTCATTTAATACACCTAACCTACTAAGTATCATGGCTTAGTTTAGCTTACCTTAAATGTGCTCAGAACACTTACATTAGCCTACAGTTGTGCAAAATTATCCAACACAGTCTATTTTATAATGAAGTTAAATATCACATGTAACTTATTGCATACCCTACTAAAAGTGAAAAGCAGAATGGTTGTATAGGTACTCAAAGTACCATTTCTACTGAATGCTTATCACTTTCACACCATCATAAAGTTGAAAAATCATAAGTTGAACTATTGTTAGTTGGGGATGAGTTGCATTTTTAAAATATGTTTTAAATGGCGTATGAAACTGCCTCTGAAGGTGATAAGCTATTTGTTAAATAAAAATAGACTATTATTGATGTCCTCTTCTTCTGTGAAAAAGTCTACATAGTAGTATAGAAAAAGATAATTGTTTATAATTTATGTAGATATAAGGTTGGGCCTAGAAAAGTGTACATTTGAATGCTGAAAATAATTTATGATTAGGCAGCATAATAGGTAACAGTTAAAGGAGACTACCAAAAACCCTTATCTTAAAGGAATTTCAAACTTTTAAAAATTGCAAGAATATTAATATATACTTTCTATATACCTATCTTTTACTCAGATTTACTCATGAACATTTTGCCACTTTTACTTTATGTCTTTCCATTTCTCTCACTGAAGTTTCCTTATCACAAATTTGAACTATTTTTTTCCTGATCTATTTGGTAGTAAGTTGCAGACATAATACCCTATTATGTCTAAAACCTGGGGTAAAAATTTATCTTAGTAGATTAGGATGCTGTATTATTAAAAAACAAAGATGATTCTGAAGAAAGTTCAGGCATTAGAGTAGGTTTATAAGGCTGACAACCTAGGTTTCTTCTAGACATAAATATCCTCTGGAACTTTTTTTAGATCAATTTTTAATATGTTTAATGGCGTTATACTGATTGCTTTTTCCACCGCTAACTTTTTAGAAGATCTTGATCCAGCTAACCCTAGTTTTGTCAAACACAATCATGCACCCTCACAGTTGGTGAGGAATTTCTACCATGGCATGTAAACTATTTCTTGGACTTGTCTTGATTAGTGAAACATGCCTAGTAGTTGCTAGTACATGTCAGAGTGAACCAATGGCAAGGGACAGCTGAATACAGGACCCTGAGAGAAGTTCATGGCATTTTTTCATTTCTCCCATCTGAGAGAAAAAGGAGGAAACTGAAATAATATCTTCATTTCTGATAAAGAAACTAAGGTCAGATATGTTAAGTGAATTGGAGGCAGAGTTAGGACTAAGTGTTAAGACTTCTAACTCCTAATATTTTTTTCCCTCTGTAACTTACTGGCTTATTTTTACATAATGTCTACTTTTTAATATTCAGTAATGACTACTTTCTATAATGCATTTTGAAATAGAACCACTTTAGAATCATCTTAATATATCATAAATCAAAATCTTACTGCCAATGTAGAATGTACCAGTGACTGAAGTCCTAAAATACAACCTATGCACTTTTTGCCTATCCACAAGGTGCTAAAACACATACAGTGTTGCTGTACACAATGTGCTCTTTAATTCTTTTATGCTGGAGATTCACAAGGAACATTTTTCAGATGACCAACCATCCATTCCACAAAAAGTACATAAACTTAATTTACGAACATACCTTGAGAGAGTTTTAAGAATCAGATTTTCACATAGAATTTCTTTCTGCCCAAAAGTAGTATTATTTTTACAACTTTTTTGGCCAAATTGGTTCTGTGTTGTTTGGTGAAAAATTAAGTTTCTTTTTATCTTTCTTTATTCCTTTCTTTTTCCATAGTTATTTGCCTTCAAGTTATAAAGAAGAACTCATGTAAATAATTGAACACACTTTTTTATTCTAATTTTACTAATGTCCATTAGGTTTGTTTTGGTTTTTCTTCTCTCATGAAGAGCTGTCTCATATTTTCTTAAGTCAAGCTGTTAAACTGGTGGGTGGGATGCTTTTACGTTTTGTGTTCCACAGACGGGCATCTGGCAAGTGCCACCAAGTGAGAGATTAATTTTCTTGCAAAAATTCTAGTAAATGTAAAATAAAGAGCAAATTAAGGTACTAACGTGATTTTATCTCAGAATTTCTCATATATTAATTACAGATACTTGTTATTAAAGTAACACTGGGCCAGGCACAGTGGCTCACTCCTGTAATCCCAGCACTTTGGGAGGCTGAGGCGAGCAGATCACAAGGTCAAGAGATTGAGACCATCCTGGCCAACATGGTGAAACCCCATCTCTACTAAAAAAACTTCAAAAATTAGCTGGGCATGGTGGTGCATGCCTGTAGTCCCAGCTACTCAGGAGGCTGAGGCAGGAGAATCGCTTGAACCCAGGAGGCAAAGGTTGCAGTGAGCCGAGATCGTGCCACAGCACTCCAGCCTGCTGACAAAGTGAGACTCTGTCTCAATAAATAAATAAATAAAGTAACACTGGTTACTGTTTTGAAACTTAATCTGCCAGCATTTTGCCTCTTTTTTGTTTATTTAGGCAGAACAAAAGTAAAGAACCTGTTCTTTAGTTTTTAATTCTCGAAATAATTTGTCTTGATTTATTCCAATTATAAGAGATTATTAGTTTTATTCTAGCTTCATTGATTTTGTGTGTTCCTAAAACATCCTTCTTAGTTATATTATTATAATTTACCAATCTTTGATCTTTATTCACATTAGCATCTACTTTTGTCACTAATTTCCTTAGCCAGCCTCCACTGCTATTAAAAGTGTTTTTAGTCAACTTTCAGTAAATCCCTAACGTAGCCCTTAGATAGTTTCTCTCACTTCCTGACTGAGTGGCTTTTGCTTTCTGAAGAGGCAAATGCCTTGCATTTTATGGAAAAGATACAAACATAGATGAGTATATCACCAATGGCACTTAGCACGATGTCATATATATAGGAGATTCTTAACACTTGATGTGCCTACAGAGTTTATTGTCCCAGGATTTAGATTTGAATTTCATATGTTAGTATTTTCAACTATTGATAAAATTGATATTTCGTCACGTTTTTAAAGCACTCTGTCAAAGAAAAGTGCAAAATTTAATCATTTTAGAATAGAATAAAACTTATTCTATCTTATGAATTTATTGTACATATCTCTAAATCTAAGCAACATTATGAAATCTTGGCAATCTTAATTTTTATATCTTGAAATATTTTGCTATTTTATCACTATAGGAACTCTTTCATCATTAATCAATTATTCTTAGTTGTGTTTTAAAAGGCAAAACAGAAAAAAAAGAAGAATGATGGAATTATCTATATCCACAGAAATGATATGGATTGAGGGCCAAATTTCCTTATTCTTATTAAACTCTTATGAATTGTTCTTATTCCCTTGTCATGTAACATAAGATGTGTCAACTTTATCATAGTACTTAAGTTACAGGATATCCAAGAGGAGAGTAAACATCACTCAAAGACTTTATGTCCTCTGGGAAAGGGACATAATATGTTTGTGGTTGTACATAAGAAAGTTGAATCATGCTAGAGGGAATTATGACCTTGTTATTGTCTTTATTTGAAGATTAAATATGGTTTAAGGAGATGTGTATGGGTGTCATGTTGATAAAGGTTGGACTTATGATGGTTAATTTTGTATGTCAACTTCACTGGGTCACAGGATGCCCAGATATTTGATCAAACATGAATCTGGATGTGTCTCTGATAATTTTTCTGAATGAGGTTAACATTTGAATTGGTAAACTGAGTAAGGCTGACTGTCCTCAATATGAGTGGGCCTCATCTAATTCCTTAATGGTTTGAATAGAATAAAAGATGAGTTAGAATGCTCTCTATCTCTGCCTGTCTTTGAGCTGGAACATAGGTCTTCTCCTGCCTTAGGACTTGGACTGGAACTGAAACTTATGCCATTGGTTCTCCTGGGTCTGGACTTCTCAGCCTCAATATTTACATGAGTCAATTTCTTATAATAAACATCTTTATGTAGATACAAAACAAATACACATTCTATTGATTCTGTTTCACTGGAAAATTCTGACCAATACAGATTTTGAAAAATACTTATTTGAACACAGTTACATTTATTTATTTATTTTGTTCATAGCTGCTTTTGTTTCAATGACAAAGTTGAACAGTTACAAGTGAGAACATGTGGCCCATATACCTAAAATATTTATCATATGGCCCTTTCAGAAAATGTTTACCTGTGCTACGTTTCCTTTAGAAGGATAAAGTAATAGTGAAAGACTTATTAGTTTCTTTATTCTGTTGCCCAAAATGTTGCGTCATCTTTTAAAAAGGCATAAAAGAAGTCAGGAGATACCATCTTTATAGTCTTCTTTTAGCTTTTATTGAACATAATTGAGAATTCAGAATTTTTCATTTTCTATCCTGATGGGATATATAATAAAATTGATGAATAAGATGTTTTACAATTATTAGTGAATCAGAAGATTTATTCAAATAAATAGGTAGTAATACTCTAATGATGATGGTGAAATGGATAATGTAAGTAAAATCTCAGGCAATGATACAATGAGTCTTCAGGTGACAATAACAAGAGGAATTTTCTCAAACTCAAGTATCTATAAGTGAAAAACATATTTCCAAGGACAAAAAGGAATATAATAATTTATTCTACTTAGGCATTAAATAGAAAAGGCTTCATTAGGCAATGCTGTGCAGCAAGGACCTGTTCTGTGCTGCTTTGTTAAAGGGAGATGTAATGGTATTTTTTTTAGCCATTATGATGTTTGCATGCCAAAGTTTATTTGTTATAAAGAGGTCTGCAATGGTGAAATTTATTTTAAAATTTCTAATACAAATTAGTGTTCATATAAGTTATATTACTTATATAATTATAAATCAATTATATTAGGTATTTATATTAGTTTCTAATATAAATAAGATAGTGTTTCCACTCTTTATTCTTACTTCTATGAATTATTTATTAAAACACCAATTTATTTTTAAAAGGCTTCCTTTTGAACCCAAATGGCAAATGATGGTGATGATTTTCTTGATACCTTGAAGGTTAATTATTAGTGACAGAAAAGATACACAAAACAAATAGAAGAAATACACTTAGGCAAGGTAGAATTAGTGGTTTTAATCTATGTATTTTTTATATTTTATTTTGTGATTGCTTTTCTCTGGGAGGGTGAGCCTGTCTCTGTTTCACAAACAAAATCTCAAACATATATAAATTGGCTTAATAAACAACTTTCATTACGCAACACACAATTGGAATGTGTCTTTGACACAGTTTAGTGCAGTGAGATTATCTTCCACTTAAACATAGATGCTCTTACCATCTTTCTCCAAAGCAAATGTCAAGTTCCAGGAGTTATTTTTTTGATTTGTAATTTTTCCTTTTTTTTCCTGCCTTTTCGCTGTATTTCCAATTCAAGGAGATGTTTTCATGGCCAAATTATAGTATGCTTACCTTTGGTTCTTTGATGATTTTTTTCATGGAACTTTTAAGAAAATAACAAGACAGCATTTTGTTGTTGTTGCTATACTTGTAACACCAAAATATTTCCCTCATAAAATTCTAAATACATAAATATGGTACAACATACAATAAATAAAAATACTCTCAATATCAAGATAAACAAAAAAAGCATAATGCTTAAAATTTATTTTTTATACCCTAAATAATTTAAGTCAATAGTTGATCTGTGACACACTGTGCATTTTAAAACTCGGTGGCAGAGGGGAAAGAAGTTAGGCTAATTGTTTCAGGCTTAAATTTGGCAGTTTGCAAACTGCCCCAAATTTTCTCATTTTTATCTACTTTTTCCTGCATAGAGTTAATTGCAATTCTATATAAATCTGTATAATGTAGATTTTTCTTTGGGAACAGTGCCATGGAAGAAGACGAGAAAAGAGAAAGGTAGCAGAGATCTTGCTGAGTTCAGATTTGATGCCAATATCCATCTTACATTAAGGTCTCAAAACAATAAATTTTTTACATCTACAATCTGATTTCATTCATTTTTAACTTTTTATCTTCACTTTCGTTATGTAAAAGCATAATGTAGCATTTAAATCCACAGACTCTGAAGTTAGAGCCTTGGCTATGTACTATTTGTATAGCCCTAGGCAATTTTAGTAACAGCTGGGACTTAGTTACATCATCTGTAAAATGGACATTAAAATAGCACTTTTTCATGAAACGGTATTGTGAAATAAAATAAAGTGTAAATTGTTTAAAAGAGCATTGTGCATTAAACATAATCATATTTTTATTTCTTATAATGATGTGGAGGAAATATTAGTCTCTGAATTCAAACAACCCCAGTTTTCACTTACTCCTATGTTCAGTAAATATTGAGGTTTGTGTATGTGTGTGTTTGGAACTAGAGATACAATGATAAATGAGTCCAGTCTCTCTTCCAAAGAGATACTTAGTGGAGATAGAGAAATAAACATAAACTAATCAAATCAATAATTAGGAGAACTACAATAAATGTATGTGTAGAATTCAGTAGGCATATCCAAAATGAAGTGGTCAATTCTATGTACAGAGAAGGAAAAATTTCATAGGAATAAAACCCTTTATTTAGGAATTGGGAAAAGAATATAGCTTATCAGCAAATATAGGTGGAATAAGGGACATTTTACATGGACAGAAGAGCATGATGAAAAGTATAGAGGTATGAAATTACATACCATGTGATATAGTTTAGGTTATTTGTCCCTCCCAAGTCTCATGTTGAAATGTAATCCCCAGTGTTGGAGGCGGGGCCTGCTGGGAGGTGTTTTGATCATGGAGGAGGATCCCTCATGGCTTGGTGCTGTCCTCATGATAGTGAATGAGTTCTCAGGAGATCTGGTTGTTTAAAAGTGTGGCACCTCCCCACCTTCTTGCTCCTGCTCTCCCCATGTGATGTGCGTGCTCCTGCTTCATCTTCTGCCATGAGTAAAAGCTCCCTGAGGCCTTCCCAGATGCTGAGCAGATGCAGCACCATGCTTCCTGTGCAGCCTGCAGAACCATGAGCCAGTTAAGCCTCTTTTCCTTATAAATTACCCAGTCTCAGGTATTTCTTTATAGCAACACAAGAATGGCTTAGCACACCATGCTTATTATCCGTAAATTACTCCTTAAGCCTGGAGTGAAGGAAATATGGGTTTTAAAGTCTGAAGATGGGATAAAGGAGAAGATGGAAAAAAGAAACTTGTGGTCCTTTAAATATTTTTCCAGATAGATTAGAAAGATTATTTGGCATCAATTGGAAGATGAAATGGAATGTTATGAAACCGTGGGCAGAAAAATAACTCATAGACTATTGTTCTAGTCTAGGTGAGAGATCAAAAATTCATGAACTAACACAACAGCATTGAAGATGGAGAAAAGGGAATGATTATGGTAATGCAGAGGGAGTCAAATTGATACAATTTATTTGGGTCACAGTAGTAATAACCTCACAGAATGACAGAGAAAATGAAATGGAATAATTTAAATAAAGTTGCTTTATAAGAAATAAAGTGCCATATGATTGTCAGTTGTTATCTACTTTTAAGAATATATAATCAGTGCCTCTAAAGACACAATTTAGTATGTTGCACTACAAATGTAACTATTACCTGCTCTTAAAATTAAGCATTTTAAGGCTTTGAATTTTGTTAAAACAACTTTTAAATCCATCTGGAGACTGTCCTAATAATCCTTGTATTGGGAGGAACATATGCCATAGTGACACAAGTGCTTCCACAGAATTAAAATTTCTAGTATACTTATAACATCAGGTCAGACTAACCAAACCTGAAAATTTTACCAGAAGATACAATGTGCACACAAACACAAACAATTGGGGCAAACATAAGGAATTCTTGTTGTAGTAAATCTGCAAATAGATTTTCTGGTGCTTTAGCTAGCTTGCAAGCATATATGAAATTATACAGGAAATAAAGAATACAATTGGAGACATAATTCAAAATAGACTTACATGATATGCATTTTTTAATTGGGGTTCAACTTGTCTTTATATGCTTCATATGTACAGTTGACTGTGAAACAGTAAATTAATTTTTAAGTGATAATAATTCTCTTCACAAAGCCATCTCAATTTTCTTTCGTGGCCAAAGCTCTATAAGCCTTGACAGTTGCCCTACATGCACCCTAGGTCTTTCATTTATTGTGGGAGGAATCCAGCCATGCCTGGCATGAGTTTAAAAACATTCAGAGATCTCGTTCTCATATTCCACATTTTGGGGCCATTTATCCATTGACATTAGGTCTGCCACATCTGTTCATGCATTTAAATGAAAGTTAAAGACCTTCCTTTTTGATCAAGTCTTAGTGTTTTCATAATTTATATGCACCACACTATTCTAGAAGAGTTTGTTCAGAGCAATTTTCTCTGTTTTATCTGTCACTGATATTTTTATGACTTTTATTTCTCAGCCTTTAAGATGTGATGTGAATAAAAACAGCTTTCTAAATAAAGACAGATTGTCGGGTAACAATTACCCAATAAATGAGTCTTCATATGAGACTAAGCAAATACTATATCCATTGGTTTAAATTATAGAAAACACGTATATTAATTGATTAGGGTGTACAGAAAGCAATATCCTCATACATATGTTAAAATAAGATTTTTTAATAAAAATATTTTTATAAATTCCTTTTTCAAATGCTGACAAGATTTGTGTACAATGTTGTATTAATATTAAGGTATTTTTCCACTGAGTTTGATTCTGTCCAACTAGGAGGAATGGCTCCTAATTGGATTGATTGAAGTAATTCCTAATCATATCCACAGGTCAAAAAATTTCTCTTAATTAGATTTCCTTCCTTATCCTTAACGACTGCTCTAACACCTTTTCAATCTACTGAGACAGTGGAAAGTTTAGAAGAAATGCTATTAGTCTTTCCTATATAAACAGGTTTGTTGGATTTATATTCATATTACCTCCGTATAAAATCTAATGTGCATCAAAGGAGCTAGATTTTTAAAATTAATCCTCAATGTAGAAATACACTTATATCCATAAGATAATAATGTAAAATATGTTTTAAAATTTGTGGTAATACCTGGTACTACTTAAGACACAGTATAAGGAAGTAGAAAATTAGAATAATGTGAATATGTTTGAAATAAAATTGTGTTAACTAACTTTGGATAAAATAGAACATTTCCTAGAGATCCTATGGTGAAACAGCTCCTCCTATTAGCTACACACATATACACATGCACACTTACTCTTATTCCCCATGCACACTTATTCTGACATGCTGTTCTAGAATTTAACAAAACTTTGTCTTTTAAACTCAAAAGAGTTCCAAATAGGGCCTGTATTTTTTCCAATTAATCTATGCACTTGAGCACATAGTCAACTCTCATATGTGTGTTTAAAAAACTTAGGTTAAGTATCCAATTTTTTTGACAAGCAATTCCTAAATTAGATCTTGAGCTCTAATCACTATTGTGAGCTCCAGGCTTGAAAGTCTCACTGCCTTGAAAGTCTAGATGACATTCCAGTATGGATATCTATTGAGTGTCTCAAATACTTTTACATATCTAAAACATAACTTTGTGCTGATTTCCTCTCACCTTTTCCACAAAACTGTTTCTTCCCCATTTTTCTTATCCCATTTCATTCACTACCATTCAACCAGATAAACAATCTAAACATCTGAGTCAATCTTGGTTTCTCTGTACTTGTTCAATCTATATCCATCTATTAAAATCCTGTGGGCTCGAAAATCAAAATATGCCAAATTGTATTATTCTTCACTTTCTAAATCATCACCATCCTTATGACCCGGCCACCATTATGTCACACCTCAACTGGGGCAATTTTCCCCTAAGTGGTATTTCTGCTTCCACTCTTTCCTCTTAATAGTTCATTTGACCTACAGCAACCAACCCAAGTGATGCACACACACCCCCACACACGCACACACACATACACACACAAACATGTAAAACTCTGTGATGTTTTTCCTTTAATTTAGTGCAAAATGTAAACTCTTCTTTGGCCTACAATGACTCACGTGATATGATTATTGGCTCCCTTTCCAACTTCATTCTCTTGACCTTTACTCACTGTGCTCTAGCCACAATGGCCTTTTTGTTATTCCTGATAAACTCATTTTCACCTTAGTTTAAACTAGTTATCCACTTAGTGAGAAATATTTTTCTCTCACACTTTTCCAAGGTTCCCTCCTTCTCAATATCCAGGTTTTTTCTCAAATATCTAATCAGAGAGGTCATCTTCAATGGACTTATCGAATATAACCTCCTTATCACCATTTTCTCTCCCCTTGCATACTTTCAACTTATCTTGCTTAAATATGTCCAATTTCTATATGATTTACAATTTATATAATTATCACTCCTCTCTCTCACTAGAATATAAGTACCAGAAGATCAGACACCGTCTTGGTTAACTACTATATTTTCAGCATCCAGAACAAAACCTGGAACACACCTAATACTGAATATATAAGTGCTGAATGCATGCATAACTGAATAATTTGTACTTCATCTAGAATTTGTGTTTTCTGCTTTCTGCTCTCATTTTTTACTCTAACATTTGACTGTATTAATCAGGTATGTTTATTGTGTGAAGTATGCATAGGTGACAGATGCTATTGCCTCTGTATTTCCTGTGGCCATAAGTATGTCAATTACATCATTGTGCCTTATTTTCTTCATTTTGAATGGTATAGACATACTTTTTGGGGACATAAGAAATTAACTTTTGTTTAAAAGCTAAAATAAAACTTTTTTAAAAAATTCAAAAATGTTGGCTATGTATGAGAGAAAGTTAGTAATATCATGGTTAAATGTGTATTAAAATTCTTGTCTTGTGAAGTACACCAAAGTCCATAAAACTTAGAACACAACTTTGTGTTTATTAGAAATGGAGAAAATAAAATAGGAAAATACTGTTTAAGGATAAAGTACTCTATTACATAACACGTCAGGCCATATAGTTCATTGGCTGCTTGTTGAGAATGCTAAAAGTTCTGCTGACTAACATTTCTTCTCCCAGTAGGAAGATTTGTTGTTGATGTAGTTTGTCTCTGTGTCCCTACCCAAATCTCATCTTGTAGCCCCCATAATTTCTACCTGTTGTGGGAGGGGACTGGTGAGAGATGACTGAATCATTGGGACTGGTCTTTCCCGTGCTCTTCTCATGATAGTGAATGGGTCTCATGAGATCTGACAGTTTTAAAACCGGGAGTTTCTCTTCACAAGCTCTCTCTTTGCCTGCTGCCATCCACGTTGCATGTAACTTGCCCCTCCTTGCCTTCTGCCATGATTGTGAGGCCTCCCCAGCCACACAGAAATGTGAGTCCAATTAAATCTCTTTCTTTTGCAAATTACCCAGTCTCAGGTATGTCTTTATCAGCAGCATGAAAATGGACTAATACAGTTATAAATATGACTTTTCAAGTATTCTAGTAACCTTTAACTCCTATTCCCAATGTACTTCTCTTCTGAAAGTTTCTGTCTTCATAAATATTTTTTCCATGAAAACAATTTGCAAAATGGGCCTCTGATATTAGACATCATTACCTTAGTCTGTCATGACTTGACTCAGAGTTTAAAGGAGTCATTTTCTGTGTGGCTTAAAAATGAACTTGTAAGGAAATGGACTTATCACCTTTTGAAAACCAGACTTGTGAGTATAAGCTTCCATGAGAAGGTTTATTTAGCTCCATGTCTCCTGATCATTGGTTCTCATAACAAGTTCAGAAAATTCAGCCTTAAGATTCAAGCAAAGAATAGCACAAATTGAAAGCTTTGTTCTCTTTGGAGAAATTACCAATGAAATAATTTCTCAATATTTTCAGGAACTTTAGGGAGATACTATAGTAATATGTTGAAATTGAGCTTGTTATTATGGTGGCAACTTGAATTAAACTTATTATGTTAAATTTATTATCTCTTAAATATAGCTGTAAAGACAATGCAGCATGATAGAAACACTAACTTTAGGACAGAAATAATCGTTGAAGCATTATCATGTAAAGGGTCTTCAAAAAGTTCATGGAAAATACATATCATAAAAAAGCTATGCATAGATTTTAAAATTTTTTGTACCAAAATAAATTCATACTAACTTGTTGTAACATATTTGAACAGAATCCAGATTGTAGCACTAAGAAGGATAAGACAACAGTTTGAACAAAGCCCTTATCAGAGCAACATGAAGTCTGCTAAAATTGAAGAAGGAGCAAACATCAAATTTATGGCTAAGCTTGGGCAGAAAATGATAAAAATCACTGATGCTTTACGAAAAGTTTACGGGGACAATGTTCCAAATAAATCAGCAATTTACAAATAAACTCATTTTGGGAAGAGATGAGACAGTGTTGAAGATAAAGCCCACAGTGGCAGACCATTTACATTTATTTGTGAAGAAAAGATTCCTCTTGTTCATGGAAATTATACATTATACATTTCAAGGTGTATATAGTTAAATATATCCATAGCTCATAATCTGTGTACTCTAAATGAAACCTTCCATAGGTCATTTCTTCATGTTTTCTACATGCATTTCCTTAAACTCTTCTAAATCATTTGTGGAATTAATAATTCTATTGAAATGTTAGATTATGATACTCTTGTTGAGAAACTTTGCAGTGACTTTCTATCTATGAGTAAATGCTGGGATTTTTACTTTGCCTTCGAGACTCTACAGTCTGTAACCCCCACCTGAACTCATAGCTAGTTACTCTCACTCACACTTGCTCTCCTCAAAACACACTGTTCTTGCAGTTCTTTAAACATGGCAAACTCACTTTTGACTTAGTGTTTTTTCATTGGCTGTCACACATTGCTAACACTTAAATCTTCTTCAAGCCTGTTTCAATGTGCTCTAGTCCACAAGAATGAGTTCTACTTGGACTGCCCTATTTAAAATTGCAGCCTGCTTCCCTGCACCTTCCCACTGTCTTTGATTACTCATGTTGCACATCAGCCTATTATTGTCCTAATTTATATCACTAGGTACATTCAATTCTGCTTTCCTGAGACATTTCAATATATTTATTTAACTTGCACCAATAATATAGCTCATCTGGTGCTAAACCTATGTTTTTCCATCCAAGAAACAGGGCAGATCTTTAATGAATCCCCACAGTGAGTTAACTCTGTTTTCTGATGCTATGGTACCCTCTATTTTCTGTTTTTGCACCCTTCATGAATTGTTCCTTTCATATCTGAGTAAGAAGGTATACATTTTCAAATTTATGACTGCCCACAAAATCCAATATAAGCCTGATTTTATCACTTAACGCTGAAGTAAATGTAGTTTTGAGTTCTCTATTACTTTGGTCATAGAAATCATAATTGTGCAATCAAGATAAATTAGCTTCTTCCAGTTAAAAATAGTGGTCTTTATGATGATTCTGATTCTCTCCTATTTCTCTCTCTCTTTTGCCCAAAAGTCACCTAATTCCAGGATGTTCTTATGGGAAAAACATTTGTTTTTTGGGCCAGTCTCTGATCTCATTAATTGCAACCATGGTATGGCTTATTCTATCTGTATTACAGTACTGCCAAGCACTGCTCCTTCTGTATATATATTTTTGTTTACTATTTTTAACAAACTTTAAATTTTTGAATAGTTACAAACTTACAGAAAGTGGCAAATATAGTGGAGTTTCCATATACCCCACACCGTTTCTCCTATTATTAAGATCTTATGTTAGTGTGGTACATTTGTTACAACTAATGAACCAAAATTGATACATTATTATCAACTACTCTCTTTGCTGTTTTTCAGATTTCATTTGTTTTTCTCTAATTTTTTTTCTGATAGAGGATCCTCTCTAGATAGCACTTTGTATTTAATCCTTATGTCTTCTTTGGCTCCTCTGGACTGTGACAGTTTTTCCTTGGGCTTTCCTTTTTTTGACAACCTTGAGAGATTTGAAGAGTAATGATCAGATATTTTGAAGACTGCCTCTCAATTAAAATTTGCCTGATTATTTTCTCATGGCTAGACAGGGCTTTGGAGTTTTTGTGAGGAAGACCATAGCATATCACGTAAAAGGCACATGCTATCAACTTGATTTACCATTGATGTTAATGGTGATTACTTGTCTAAGGTAATATTTGCTAGGTTTCTTCACTGTAAACCTACCCTTGCCCCTGACACACACTTTTCATAATTTATTCTGTGGAACTAAGTCACTAAACCCACATAATTGGTAGAGAAGGGAGTATCTACATAAATTAGTTGGACTTCTTCCATGTAGACTTGTACTCCTTGGTTGATTGATCATAGTATTGAATTGTGGATATTTATTTTGTTTTAGATTATAATCCAATGCTATGTGTGATGGTTAATATTGAGTGTCAACTTTATTGGACTGAAGGTATGTCTGTGAGGGTGTTGGCAAAGGAGATTGACATTTGAGTCAGTGAACTGGGAAAGGCAGACTCACCCATAATCTGGGTGGGCACAATCTAATCAGCTGCCAGTGCGGCCAGAATAAAAACAGGCAGAAGAACATAAAAAGACTAGATTGGCATAACCTCCCAGCCTACATCTTTCTCCTGTGCTGGATGCTTCCTGCTCTCGAGCATCAGACTCCAAGTTCTTCAGCTTTGGAACTCGGACTGGCTTCCTTGCTCCTCAGCTTGCAGATGGTTTATTGTGGGGCCTCACCTTGTGATTGTGTTAGTCAATACTCCTTATTAAACTCCCCTGTATATATATGTATAAACATCTACCCTATTCTGTCCCTCTAGAGAACCCTGACTAATATAATATGCCACTTATTTTGTTGCTCAGATTGTTTCATCTTTGGCTATTGGGAGAACTTTCAAAGCCCTTTTGACTTAACCCAATTATCTTATTTTTTTAAGCACTCATTTTCTGGCATACAGTTATTCCAGGCTCATTTTGTCTAATACTTGCTACTTTAAACTCAGCCATTTTAAGTATTCCTGGTTCCTTTTATTGAAGAACGAGTTTAAAAATCAAGTTCTGGGTTCTAGATGTGCTCATTCCTATTGAGGTGTCTTTGGTTTTGGCCCTCTTTGTGAACAGAGCTAAGGCATGTATGTATATATAACTAACCTGTGCATAAAGAGATACTTATAACTATTGGTATGCGTATCCTTCAGTATCTTTATTAAGCTAAACATGAGCTTATACAGATTTTTATGGCTCTAATCCAGAACCACATGATTCATTCTAACCCTTCCATCTTGCTTATCTATAACTTCTCCAAGAATAAAAACCTCACTCTCACTGTTCTCTGTGTATTTATTTGTTGGTTCAATTTCAATATACATGAATAGTGACTTCACATCTTTTAACCTGTACCACCACTGGAGGCAACTTTACCAACTAGAATAATGCTTATGAACATTTTATTTTGTTTTTAGTCCTACAGTCCAGTCTAGTTTCCAAAGTTATTGAGATCAGCACCTCTTTTTATCCACATCCTACAGTTAGGTTATGTCAGGTATTTTTAATACCATTAGATTTTTTTGCCATAGTCTGCATTCCATTTGTAATCCTTCACCCTCCACTTGATCTTTTTCTAAAAAAAAATCACATATTAAGGTTTAATATTTGCACTGTAACATTATATTGGTTTTCACACATGGATAGTGTTGTGTATCTGCCACTAGAGAACTATACAGAATTAGTATCACAGTCCTAAAAATACCCACTGGGCTTCACCTATTCATCTCCCCCCATTCCCATATACCTGGCAGCCATTCATTTTTATTTGTCTCTGTAATTTTGACTTCCTCATACATCTGCTTTTGACATTTATAGTCAGTATTGTAAATACCATTGTTCTGTCTATTAATAGAGATTCCTTAGCAAGATTTAATAGCTTCTTCTTTTCTACTGACTCTCTCAAGCACTTCTTTAGCTCTTCTGGGGCACAGGCTGCCTTTCTCAGGGTGTGACCTTCTGTTTTAGGTTTCTTATCAAATGATTCAGCCTGAGGCAATGCAATTAACCATTGCTATTCTGCTTCTCTGGTGAAACACTAGACTTGAGGCATCTGAAAAGAATCCTTAGTCTCCCCAGTTTACGGTATGAGAGGTGAAGCAAAAGACTCCCTCCGTTGAAACTTATCTGTTGCCTTAGCCTAAGAATGGTTTCCCTGCACTATGTTGACAAAGTAAGACTCTTTTCTTGTTAAGAAAGTTGATAAATGATGTTGATAAATATTGATGAGAGAGGGAAAGGAGGAAAAGAAAAATGTATTGCATATGTCATGTTCCTTCTCTTTCTGGACTCTATTAGGTTCTATTTATATATTTCTTTATTTTTACAATAATATTACATTGTCTTTATCACATATCTTTGTAGTAATTCCAGATATCAGGTAGCATAAATCTTTTTACTTTATTCTTCTTTTTCAACATTGCAATGTCCTTTGCATTGTCATATAAGCTTTAGAATCATTTTGTCCATTTCTATAAAAACCTCTGATGAAATTAGATTTTGTATTTCATTGAACGTACAAATCAATTTTGATAGAACTGATATCTTAACAATATTGAATTTTCTGATCTTAGCTCATATTATGTCTTTTCATTTACTTAGGTGTTCTTTAAATGTGTTGTACTTTTTGGGTCAAGTTCATTTCTTTTATATGTTTTCTATACTGTTACAAATAAAGTCACATTTTAGAACACACACTGTACAGGTATTCTATTTTTCAGTTCTAGAATTTCAAGTAGTTATTTCTTTATAGATTATATTCTGTATCTTGATTCTTTCATTGGTTTACTTATTATAATTGATAGTGGCAGGAGACAGATAAATTCATGGGCAGACAGGCGTGGGTTCCCAGTGAAACCTACCTTCAAACCAAAGACAATTTAAAGCCTGAAAACTGAGTTGCCAGTCTGGGATAAAGTCCACGACCACAGTGAGAATTTCTATTCCTGTTTGCCCACTCTTTTCTGATTGGTTCTTTCTGAATAATGCTTTTTAACCAATCAAATGTTGCCTTTTCCAAGGCTATATACAGTCTGTGCCTCCTCATTGCAAGCCTGTAAAAACCCTGGACTCAGCCACACAGAGGTTTACCCGCTTTCAGACCCCCTCTCACACAGAAGGCTACCCACTTCAGTTCCCCTCACATTGTTGAGAACTTTTCTGTTGCTCAATAAAATTATTCTCTGCCTTGCTCATTCTCTGGTGTCCATGTACCTCATTCTTCTTGGTCACATGACAAGAACTTGGAACCCACAGAACAGCAGGGACAAAAAGGGTTGAAAAATGTTCCCGGCCAGCTCCTGGCCGAGCTGTGGACAGCATGAATGAAAAGAGCTGCGTCATACTCCTGTTTGCCGTACTACAGAAGTGAAAAGCTGTGACCCTTCTGGGGGCCCAGACCACTGGACTCCCTGAGCCAGGGCTATAACAAGTCCCTCTTCACCAAGCCATGAGTGGCGGGAAGGAACAAGCTATAACATGTTCCCATTTGTTGAGCAGCTAGAGGCTGGAATGAGAGAGATACCTGTGGCATTCCCTAGTGGCTCAGACCACAGAACTTCGTGAGCAGAAGTTGTGACACTCCCATGGGGCTCTGTGGTTACTGGCGTCTCTGAGTTTTTGGGTGTCACTCCATCCCCTTGGTCCAGACACTGGCGCCCAAGGCAGTAGCAAGTCGGTGGCAGCATCCCTGGACCAGCCGTGAGCTGAACGCAGCAACCCCATGTTGAGTGTGGGATCCTGGCTGGTAGCATGACCAGAGGACAGCCTGTCAGACTGAGTGGGCGGAGTGAGCCCAACTGGCTGGAGCAAAGCCCAGGCAGAGGTGCCACGGGCCACAGAGATTCCCAGCTGGTGAAGTGGCACTGAAATAATTCTGTGTCATAATTACCGTTTATTTTAAGTCTTTTAACGTATTTTAAAAAGCTGTTTTTCTCTCCTCATGTGATAAAGACAATATTAAAGCAATATTAGGTTGTGTTTCTATTGACCAATTAAAAAAAATAGACCATGCTTCCTTGCTAATTTACATGGTTGAATTATATTTTCTTTCTTTATAGGGTATTAATTATATTTTGTCAGACGATTAAATTACCCCGGATTTTTGTTGCTTCTGCTAGTCTTGGTTTTAGTCTCTGTTAAGGTAGGTCGATTTTGATTTTGTCATTAGTTAGAGGGTGCACCTTTATTCCAAAGCCATGTCTTTTCTGACTCTCAATTAAATATCTGCAATCTTCAGCAATGTGTCTCATTTCTTTATGGGCCAGAATTGCAATATTTTTATCCTGGTGTGATCTCTGTTATCTTCATTCATTCTCAGCCCAGCACCAGCACATTTCTGCTAAGTGTCGCTGAGTCGTTCTGTGAGCATTACACAACAAGGCCCTCAGTCAAAATAATAATAATAAAATAATAATAATAATAATAATAATAATAATAATAATAATACCCCAGTGTGAGTCCTCACAGACATGTGGGGCCCCTCTGTTCAACTTCTTTCTTTCTAGGAACCTGCCTTGAAAATTCCGTCTACTTCAGCAATATAGAATTCCAAACTCTGCTTCCTTGGCTCAGCAATACCACTGCGTCACTTGAGCTCCGTTTCCGTAAGACAAGTAGAGAAAGTACCCCTACTCAGAATGTTGTTGATGTCTTCTGTCGAGGATTATAGTCCTGCTTTGCCTATTGTTCAATGCATGAAAATAATCACTTCATATATTTTGTCCAAGTTTACACTTATTTACAGTGGAAGGGCAAGTCAAGTAGCAGTTATTTATTGATGGATGGACATTGAATTGCCACATAAATATATTTTTATTATTATTTCAATGATGGAAATTTCTGACTAGTTAAAAGTAAATTTGCATCACTATTAATTTATCACTCTAAAGGTTTTATAGTCATCAATATTTTTGGCATATTTATCACCCACCCTTGGAATATATTCGTGCTGTTGCAAAAGTTTTAAAAACCTCTGATTTTTAGTATAAAATTTATGCTCTAATTCGTTGAAAATTTGTTTGTGATATTCTAAGCCAAACCCTTTGAATCCCAAACAATTATTATATTTTGCCAGTATGTGATTGTGGAAAAAAAAGTCATATTTTACTGCATAAAATCAGGAAAGGTGAGTATGATTTTCAAGACTATTTTGGAATTTGTACCCAAGAAATCAAGACTATTTATATTTATACCTTTTAGTATACCCTTTCCTTGGATAATAAGCATCACCTCAAAGTCTAGTTTAAATGGGAAAAGGAACATACAGTCAAAGGTATTACTGAGAAAGAAAAATACACAAGAGAATAAATCAAAACATTATCCACTAAATCAATCACTTCCCTAGGCTCAATAATCTACAAGTAGAGACCATTATTTCATGTTCTCATTTTATGCACGTAAAATACCATCTGAGAGTCATGTTACTTCTTAAAGTCCTGGAATACACTGCAGGAATAGAATTTTTATGTGCATGATCTGCTTTAAACGGGAAACATAAAATGAGACTGGGAAAGTTAATATCTTTTATGCAAACTTCTATCTCATCACTTAAGAGAATTTTAGTATAAGAAGAAAAAAAACCCTAATAAATCAGTAAATGTGAAAACCACAAAAAATCAGAAAAAACAAGTAAAAGTTCTTTAAAAAAAGTTCTTAAAGTATTACATTTATTATGGCTAAAATTTAATCCCATAACGAAGACCTTATGATTTGCACTGTAAAACAAGAGCACTTTGGTGATATGATGATGTATCTTCCCTCACCAATTTCAGTTTGTGTTGTGTGATTATTTCTGAAAACATATTAGGTTTTCACATAGATTTTTTTCTGATAAATTAATTTCAGAAAAATGAGATTTTTGTTGACTTCCTTTTCTAATTATAATTTTCTAATGTCTGTTTTAAGAAATGAACCATAATAGGATCACACAATAAGAGGAGATAAAATTCCTAATGTTCACACATTGCACATCTGACCTAATTCATCACAGGTTCTGGTGTAATGTAGTATTTTATTATTATATATTTTGATGATAAATTATTTTTTATAGAAGTGAAAAGGATGACTGACTTTCCAAAGTGATATTGGCAATCTCCCTGTTATAACTTATACTACTAGGCTTTTGAGAAGATAAAAATACAAATTTCATTAGAATCATTAACAAACTAAGCTTTATTTTTGCTTTTATTGCAAGGCTACTTCAAAGAATAACCAACATACAATATGTCGACTTTTGAGAACAGTTTTATGAGGTTCTGTAGTTCGTGCAGTTCATTACATTTTGAAATTAAATGAAATGATTCATTATATTATTGTATATGACCTAATATTACTAATGCATTTATTAATATTTTATATGCTGACAATCAGCAATAATCACAGAAGCAAGTCAATTCACTAAAATAAGACCGGTAGTGCTTGTTAGGGTTGTGAGGAAAAAATTAATTAAGCAAAACATTATTCAAGAATGGATGTATTAGTCCATTTTCACGCTGCTGATAAAGACATACCCGAGACTGGGTAATTTATACAGAAATAAAGGTTTAATTGGACTTACAGTACCACGTGGCTGGAGAAGCCTCACAATCATGGTGGAAGGCAAAAGGCATGTCTTACATCACGAGAGGAAAGACAGAATGAGAACCAAACGAAACAGTTTCCCCTTCTCAAACCATCAGATCTCATGAGACTTTTTCATTACCATGATTACAGTATGGGAGAAACTGCCCCATGATTCAATTATCTCCCACTGGATCCCTCTCACAACATGTGGGAATTTTTGGAGTATGATTCAAGATGAGATTTGGGTGGGGACACAGAGCCAAACCATATCAATGGACTATCCAGTTTAACTACAAAATAAGGGAAACTAGGAACTTGTTGATAAATGTTAAACCTCAGATGATGATCTTTACATATTTATAGAAACCTACTGTATCTTTTCCACTTGCCTGGACTTACAGTAGAATGCATTTATTTGTCTCCTTCACCAAGAAGTCAGAGTCACAGAGTCTTAGAATTGTATGGTAGCTCAGTAATGACATCTGGGACTGAGTATCTTTCTGCCATCCTGACCTGCCAATTTGTGTGTGGCTTTCATCTCTGTAGAATCAGGGATGATGCTGCATTTCCAAATATTTTATTTAGTTTTTCAAGCAGGAAGAAGGGTGAAGAATAAAAGAGCTGATGGTAAATGTACCATTCCATCTTATTTGCCAGTTTTCCCAGAGACTCCACCCAAGAACTTCTGTTTTCATCTCCTCATTAAAAGTAGTCATCCCTAACTTCAGACGAGTCTGGAAAGGTAAGTATTTACTTTTTCCACCTACATAAAGGAAAGCAAGAAACAAAAGAGTCTACTATTGGGGTAGTAAGTCCACGCTGCCTGCCATCACTGTTATAAGCCAACTATGGTATTATGACTTCTTTAAGCTTAAGGTATCTATTGTCAGAAATAAAAAACATAGATAACATTTGCTACATTTG
The DNA here is from genome assembly GCF_000001405.40 of Homo sapiens. Classification (NCBI taxonomy): domain Eukaryota; kingdom Metazoa; phylum Chordata; class Mammalia; order Primates; family Hominidae; genus Homo; species Homo sapiens. Next base: position 74,510,548 of record NC_000012.12, on the reverse strand, counting down.
GGCTACTCTATTCAACTTCACATCTGGTAGAAAATTTTCTCTTATAAAGAAATTCAGTTTGCAGGGAGGATTTTTTTTTCTCTTGAGAATGTGAGTGTGCTTCTGGAATGGATAATTTGTATCCAGATGTCAAACAAAGGGGGCAGGGAAACTACCCTGCATAAGAGGAAGTTTTTAATTCTTTAGAGAAGAGGTTCATGGTACAAATTCTGTAAAGGTGACTAATTAACATGAAACCTCAAAACTCAAGTAAAGTTACTAAATTCATAAAATGCATGTTGCAACTTAATTTTTTGAAAATTGCAGAGGGGCTGTATATTGTATCCTGTCCAATATTAGGGAAAAACAGGATGAGCATATGATGTATAGGACCTATAGAAAGGCTACTGGAGGAAATCAGCCTACAGGACTCTTTTCATTATAGAGAGTAATTTGTAGTGTTTTTAATGTATTGGGGATTTCCTGCAGTTTATTTAGAACTCTCAAGGCAGGAAAAACCCTGCTGGCATATAGGTTGCACACAGAAGACCTGAGCTAGTAAATTCCTAGCAAGTGAAAATTTTTGCAGAACTACATGCATGTGTAACTATGTAGTTAAATTAAAAAAAAAGACAGAGAGAGAGAAGAGGGGGATTTAAATACCTTTGATCCTGGAATTTTCTTTTCAATTTATGGTCATTGTTGTTGGAGATTAAAAGACAGACTTCTCCAGAAGGAATATTCTCAACTATTTTTTTATTGCCATGTTGTCAGATAATTTGAATTAAAAGCAAATTTTTCATTAATTCTTTTAATAAATTTTTTTGCTTTTTCCTTCCAGTAGAATTATGAATTTTAACATAGGCATAGTATCTCATGTATGTTTAATAATTTATTTAATTAAACTTTAATTCATGGAAAATAGGTTCTTTCAACTTTTTATGATAAGAAACTGTACTGTAGTGGCATACCTTTTTGTACTAATGAGATTATTCTCCTTAAGAATATACTACTGGGGCGGTGGGTTGGGGGGAGGAGCCAAGATGGCCGAATAGTAACAGCTCCAGTTTACAACTCCCAGCGTGAGCGAGGCAGAAGACGGTGATTTCTGCATTTCCATCTGAGGTACCGGGTTCATCTCACTAGGGAGTGCCAGACAGTGGGCGCAGGTAAGTGGGTGCGCGTACCGTGCGCGGGCCGAAGCAGGGCGAGGCATTGCCTCATTCGGGAAGCACAAGGGGTCAGGGAGTTCCCTTTCCTAGTCAAAGAAAGGGGTGACAGACGGCACCTGGAAAATCGGGTCACTCCCACCCGAATACTGCGCTTTTCCGACGGGCTTAAAAAACGGTGCACCAGATTATATCCCGCATCTGGCTCAGAGGGTCCTACGCCCACGGAGTCTCGCTGATTGCTAGCACAGCAGTCTGAGATCAAACTGCGAGGCTGGGGGAGGGGCGCCCGCCATTGCTGAGTTGTGGTTTGATTAGGTAAACAAAGCAGCAGGGAAGCTGGAACTGGGTGGAGCCCACCACAGCTCAAGGAGGCCTGCTTGCCTCTGTAGGCTCCACCTCTGGGGGCAGGGCACAGACAAACAAAAAGGCAGCAGTAACACCTCTGCAGACTTAAATGTCCCTGTCTGACAGCTTTGAAGAGAGCAGTGGTTCTCCCAGCACGCAGCTGGAGATCTGAGAACCGGCAGACTGCCTCCTCAAGTGGGTCCCTGACCCCTGACCCCCGAGCAGCCTAACTGGGAGGCACCCCCCAGCAGGGGCAGACTGACACCTCACACAGCCGGGTACTCCAACAGACCTGCAGCTAAGGGTCCTGTCTGTTAGAAGGAAAACTAACAAACAGAAAGGACATCCACACCAAAAACCCATCTGTACATCACCATCATCAAAGACCAAAAGTAGATAAAACCACAAAGATGGGGAAAAAACAGAGCAGAAAAACTGGAAACTCTAAAAAGCAGAGCGCCTCTCCTCCTCCAAAGGAACGCAGTTCCTCACCAGCAACGGAACAAAGCTGGATGGAGAATGACTTTGAGGAGCTGAGAGAAGAAGGCTTCAGACGATCAAATTATTCCGAGCTACGGGAAGACATTCAAACCAAAGGCAAAGAAGTTGAAAACTTTGAAAAAAATTTAGAAGAATGTATAACTAGAATAACCAATACAGAGAAGTGCTTAAAGGAGCTGATGGAGCTGAAAACCAAGGCTCAAGAACTACGTGAAGAATGCAGAAGCCTCAGGAGCCGATGCGATCAACTGGAAGAAAGGGTATCAGCGATGGAAGATGAAATGAATGAAATGAAGCGAGAAGGGAAGTTTAGAGATAAAAGAATAAAAAGAAACCAGCATAGCCTCCAAGAAATATGGGACTATGTGAAAAGACCAAATCTACGTCTGATTGGTGTACCTGAAAGTGACGGGGAGAATGGAACCAAGTTGGAAAATACTCTGCAGGATATTTTCCAGGAGAACTTCCCCAATCTAGCAAGGCAGGCCAACATTTAGATTCAGGAAATACAGAGAACGCCACAAAGATACTCCTCGAGAAGAGCAACTCCAAGACACATAATTGTCAGATTCACCAAAGTTGAAATGAAGGAAAAAATGTTAAGGGCAGCCAGAGAGAAAGGTCGGGTTACCCGCAAAGGGAAGCCCATCAGACTAACAGCAGATCTCTCAGCAGAAACTCTACAAGCCAGAACAGAGTGGGGGCCAATATTCAATATTCTTAAAGAAAATAATTTTCAATGCAGAATTTCATATCCAGCCAAACTAAGCTTCATAAGTGAAGGAGAAATAAAATACTTTACAGACAAGCAAATGCTGAGACATTTTGTCACCACCAGGCCTGCCCTAAGAGAGCTCCTGAAGGAAGCACTAAACATGGAAAGGAAAAACCAGTACCAGCCACTGCAAAATCATGCCAAAATGTAAAGACCATCGAGACTAGGAAGAAACTGCATCAACTAACGAGCAAAATCACCAGCTAACATCATAATGACAGGATCAAATTCACACATAACAATATTCACTTTAAATGTAAATGGACTAAATCCTTCAATTAAAAGACACAGACTGGCAAATTGGATAAAGAGTCAAGACCCATCAGTGTGCTGTATTCAGGAAACCCATCTCATGTGCAAAGACATACATAGGCTCAAAATAAAAGGATGGAGGAAGATCTACCAAGCAAATGGAAAACAAAAAAAGGCAGGGGTTGCAATCCTAGTCTCTGATAAAACAGACTTTAAACCAACAAAGATCAAAAGAGACAAAGAAGGCCATTACATAATGGTAAAGGGATCAATTCAACAAGAAGAGCTAACTATCCTAAATATATATGCACCCAATACAGGAGCACCCAGATTCATAAAGCAAGTCCTGAGTGACCTACAAAGAGACTTAGACTCCCACACAATAATAATGGGAGACTTTAACACCCCACTGTCAACATTAGACAGATCAACCAGACAGAAAGTCAACAAGGATACCCAGGAATTGAACTCAGTTCTGCACCAAGCAGACCTAATAGACATCTACAGAACTCTCCACCCCAAATCAACAGAATATACATTTTTTTCAGCACCACACCACACCTATTCCAAAATTGACCACATACTTGGAAGTAAAGCTCTCCTCAGCAAATGTAAAAGAACAGAAATTATAACAAACTATCTCTCAGACCACAGTGCAATCAAACTAGAACTCAGGATTAAGAATCTCACTCAAAACCGCTCAACTACATGGAAACTGAACAACCTGTTCCTGAATGACTACTGGGTACATAACGAAATGAAGGCAGAAATAAAGATGTTCTTTCAAACCAACGAGAACAAAGACACAACATACCAGAATCTCTGGGATGCATTCAAAGCAGTGTGTAGAGGGAAATTTATAGCACTAAATGCCCACAAGAGAAAGCAGGAAAGATCCAAAATTGACACCCTAACATCACAATTAAAAGAACTAGAAAAGCAAGAACAAACACATTCAAAAGCTAGCAGAAGGAAAGAAATAACTAAAATCAGAGCAGAACTGAAGGAAATAGAGACATAAAAACCCTTCAAAAAATTAATGAATCCAGGAGCTGGTTTTTTGAAAGGATCAACAAAATTGATAAACCACTAGCAAGACTAATAAAGAAAAAAAGAGAGAAGAATCAAATAGATGCAATAAAAAATGATAAAGGGGATATGACCACCGATCCCACAGAAATACAAACTACCATCAGAGAATACTACAAACACCTCTATGCAAATAAACTAGAAAATCCAGAAGAAATGGATAAATTCCTCGACACATACACTCTCCCAAGACTAAACCAGGAAGAAGTTGAATCTCTGAATAGACCAATAACAGGATCTGAAATTGTGGCAATAATCAATAGCTTACCAACCAAAAAGAGTCCAGGACCAGATGGATTCACAGCCGAATTCTACCAGAGGTACAAGGAGGAACTGGTACCATTCCTTCTGAAACTATTCCAATCAATAGAAAAAGAGGGAATCCTCCCTAACTCATTTTATGAGGCCAGCATCATCCTGATACCAAAGCCGGGCAGAGACACAACCAAAAAAAGAGAATTTTAGACCAATATCCTTGATGAACATTGATGCCAAAATCCTCAATAAAATACTGGCAAACCGAATCCAGCAGCACATCAAAAAGCTTATCCACCATGATCAAGTGGGCTTCATCCCTGGGATGCAAGGCTGGTTCAATATATGCAAATCAATAAATGTAATCCAGCATATAAACAGAACCAAAGACAAAAACCACATGATTATCTCAATAGATGCAGAAAAGGCCTTTGACAAAATTCAACAGCCTTTCATGCTAAAAACTCTCAATAAATTAGGTATTGATGGGAAGTATTTCAAAATAATAAGAGCTATCTATGACAAACCCACAGCCAATATCATACTGAATGGGCAAAAGTTGGAAGAATGCCCTTTGAAAACTGGCACAAGACAGGGATGCCCTATCTCACCACTCCTATTCAACATAGTGTTGGAAGTTCTGGCCAGGGCAATTAGGCAGGAGTAGGAAATAAAGGGTATTCAATTGGGAAAAGAGGAAGTCAAATTGTCCCTGTTTGCAGACGACATAATTGTATATCTAGAAAACCCCATTGTCTCAGCCCAAAATCTCCTTAAGCTGATAAGCAACTTCAGCAAAGTCTCAGGATACAAAATCAATGTACAAAAATCACAAGCATTCTTATACACCAACAACAGACAAACAGAGAGCCAAATCATGACTGAACTCCCATTCACAATTGCTTCAAAGAGAATAAAATACCTAGGAATCCAACTTACAAGGGATGTGAAGGACCTCTTCAAGGAGAACTACAAACCACTGCTCAAGGAAATAAAAGAGGATACAAACAAATGGAAGAACATTCCATGCTCATGGGTAGGAAGAATCAATATCATGAAAATGGCCATACTGCCCAAAGTAATTTACAGATTCAATGCTATCCCCATCAAGCTACCAATGACTTTCTTCACAGAATTGGAAAAAACTACTTTAAAGTTCATATGGAACCAGAAAAGAGCCCGCATCACCAAGTCAATCCTAAGCCAAAAGAACAAAGCTGGAGGCATCACACTACCTGATTTCAAACTATACTACAAGGCTACAGTAACCAAAACAGCATGGTACTGGTACCAAAACAGAGATATAGATCAATGGAACAGAACAGAGCCCTCAGAAATAACGACACATATCTACAACTATCTGATCTTTGACAAACCTGAGAAAAACAAGCAATGGGGAAAGGATTCCCTATTTAATAAATGGTGCTGGAAAAACTGGCTAGCTATATGTAGAAAGCTGAAACTGGATCCCTTCCTTACACCTCATACAAAAATTAATTCAAGATGGATTAAAGACTTAAACGTTAGACCTAAAATCATAAAAACCCTAGAAGAAAACCTAGGCATTACCATTCAGGACATAGGCATGGGCAAGGACTTCATGTCTAAAACACCAAAAGCAATGGCAACAAAAGCCAAAATTGACAAACGGGATCTAATTAAAGAGCTTCTGCACAGCAAAAGAAACTACCATCAGAGTGAACAGGCAACCTACAAAATGGGAGAAAATTTTCACAACATACTCGTCTGACAAAGGGCTAATATCCAGAATCTACAATGAACTCAAACAAATTTACAAGAAAAAAACAAACAACCCCATCAACAAGTGGGTGAAGGATATGAACAGACACTTCTCAAAAGAAGACATTTATGCAGCCAAAAAACACATGAAAAAATGCTCACCATCACCAGCCATCAGAGAAATGCAAATCAAAACCACAATGAGATACCATCTCACACCAGTTAGAATGGCAATCATTAAAAAGTCAGGAAACAACAGGTGCTGGAGAGGATGTGGAGAAATAGGAACACTTTTACACTGTTGGTGGGACTGTAAACTAGTTCAACCATTGTGGAAGTCAGTGTGGCGATTCCTCAGGGATCTAGAACTAGAAATACCATTTGACCCAGCCATCCCATTACTGGGTATATACCCAAAGGACTATAAATCATGCTGTTATAAAGACTCATGCACATGTATGTTTATTGCGGCATTATTCACAATAGCAAAGACTTGGAACCAACCCAAATGTCCAACAACGATAGACTGGATTAAGAAAACGTGGCACATATACACCATGGAATACTATGCAGCCATAAAAAATGATGAGTTCTTGTCCTTTGTAGGGACATGGATGAAATTGGAAATCATCATTCTCAGTAAACTATTGCAAGAACAAAAAACCAAACACCGCATATTCTCACTCATAGGTGGGAATTGAACAATGAGATCACATGGACACAGGAAGGGGAATATCACACTCTAGGGACTGTGGTGGGGTGGGGGGAGGGGGGAGGGATAGCATTGGGAGATATACCTAATGCTAGATGACGAGTTAGTGGGTGCAGCACACCAGCATGGCACATGTATACATATGTAACTAACCTGCACATTGTGCACATGTACCCTAAAACTTAAAGTATAATAATAATAAAGAAAGAAAGAAAGAATATACTACTAGGGTGATATAATTTGGCTGTGTCCCCACCCAAATCTCAACTTGAACTCCCACATGCTGTGGGAGGGACCCGGTGGGAGGTAATTGAATCATTGGGGCAAGTCTTTCCCATGAAAAATCTCACAAGATCTGATGTTTTTGAAAAGAGGAGTTCCCCTGCACGAGTTATCTTTCTTTGCCTGCTGCCATCCATGTAAGATGTGACTTGTTCCTCTTTGCCTTCTGCCATGATTGCGAGGCTTCCCCAGCCACATGGAACTGTAAGTCCAATTAAGCCTCTCTTTCACAAATTGCCCGGTCTTGGATATATCTTTGTTAGCTGTGTGAAAATGGACTAATACATAGGGTAAGAGTATTGGATCAAGAAATACATTTAGTTAATATTTTGAGACAAGTTGCCAAAATACCTACTGGGAAGATTGTATTAATTTACCTTTCTACTAACAAATATTGGTCACCATTATTTGAATATTAGCAACAATAAGTATCTTCTCCTGTGTGTTGGTTAATTGATTTAATTTTAGAAGTGCCCTATTCTCATCCTTCACCCATGTTTATCATATTTTTGATTTCATAATTTATTTGTGAAAACCCTTTATAATTTAAATTTTTTTCTTTGATATATGTATCTATGCTGCAATTGTTTTTCTACTTTCGATTTGTATTTTAGTTTTATTCATTGTATTTATTGTGCCAATCCAAGACATTTGATTTTAGATAGTCAAATATATCAGTGTTCCACGATATTGTTTCTGGTTTCACTTTTAAGTTTTTACTGTCCATTGATACAAACTTGTTTACCAATGCTTTCTTCTGATATTTTAATAGTATTAATCTCATTTTTATGAATGTGAAATAATTTTTAACTGAGCAGTGAAATGGTAACCTAGCTTCTATTTTTAAAATAACTAGCCCATTGCCTTAATTGCAGTTATTTAATAATTAATCATATCTATACAAATTTTATATATACATTTATTGTATATAAGATATCTGTGAATACTTATGATTTCTGAGCTCTCTATTCTGTTCACTTACTATGCATCATGAGTGGTCCAAGTAATTCTCACTATTAGCAAAAGAAGTGGTCCCCTGTGTATGAGGAACAATTAAAGCATGTTATACAGTGTATATTTAATTACACAATTAAAGTCTATTCTATTGCTAGAGGGTGATAGTAGTTCAAAGCAAGCAAAGACACTCATACCATCTTCTCATTTTAGTCCTGGTAGTGGAATTCCTTAATATTAGGGGTCTTTGCTTAGGAGTTTAGTAGTGGAGACCTGGTTGAACTAGATCTCCAACATGGGGCTTCATGGGGAAAGTCAGAGAGTTAAATGATGTATTTTATGCATCTCACTTACATTCTTGAAACAAGTTTATTACTTGAATTTCCCACTCCAATTTGAAAAAGCAGGGCTCTGTTTTTCCAAGTTGCATATTCCCCAAGACTGCTATAATATAACTGGGAATGGTCCTTATTTCTCCACATTTTAAAAGCATTTCTTATTACATCAAAATATCACAAAGCTTAAGATTTGTGTGTTTTGGGTATATCAATTTTAGTAATTTCTTCTACTGGTACATACACATAATTGACATTTGTTTTCTTCATATTAGAACAAAATAATCTCAAAGAGAACTTTTTTAGACCTTTCTCATATACTCTTTTGCATATTTCTACTTAGACCTACACAATTTAATTATAGAAGTGTTACTGATGTTTTTGAGGACTCATATTGTAACTCATTTATTTTCCCAGAATTCAAAAATATATTCTTCCAAGAAAAACAAAGCCCTGTCTATACTCGATGCAGGTTGGTTTGATTTCATTGTTCAATTTTGGGGAAAGTTACATCTTTATAAGATTATGTTTTTCTCTTCAGAAAAAAGCCACATCTCTCCATTAAAAATCAATGTTTATATCCCTTAGCAAAGTTGTACAGCTTTCACTCTGTATAAGCCTATGCAAGTCTTGTTAAATTCATAAATATGAGTCTTATTTTTGAGTTATTCTTCTTAATGGACATTTTCTTGTATACATCTATTGATTATATGATGCTTTTAAAGTAAATATATTATCCAAAAATAATGGTTATTTCTCCTTTTCTATTCCATATTGGTATCTTCTATTTTTTCCTTTGATTACTTTGTTTAGCAACTCAGGTGGGCTATTGGTGGCAATAGCAGCAAACTCATCACCTTTTGGTATTTTATATGTAAACATAAGTTGGCTTCTATTTACAGATTTATCTACCTACCCATGAACTGTTTTAAAAAAATGTTTTCAGGAATAGTGTTGTATTTTGGTAAGCGCCTTTTCACATTCTGTTGACCTAATCATATTTTTTTCTCATTTTACATGAAAAATAATAACTGTACTACCTAGTCCTACTAATAATCACTACTCCTATTAAAATAATAATAGCTAATCACTACTGGGCACTTATTATGGGCCAAGAATCAGCCAAATAAATTTTGTGTATTGTTTCTTTGATCTTTAATGTAGCCTTCTGAAATAGGTACATTACCTATTATGTTCTGAAGATTACCATTATGTTCTTATCGAGGAAGAACCTGAGCATCATAGAATTTAGCTAATGTGTCAAATTAATTAAACATTACATGATAAAATGGTGAGTCAACCTTTCTGGTCATAACCTCAATACTATATTGCTTGTTTTAGCTGTATGAGAGGACATATACATAGATGCCATTATAATTAATTGTTTTTGAATGATTAAAATAATGTCTGTATACTCGTTGAAATAACATGAACATCATTAGGTAATTTTTTTACATTATTGATTATAAGTGAGATTTTAGTTTACTTGTAGTTTACTGTAGTTTACTTGTAGTTTACTTGTAGTGAGATTATAAGTAGATTGTTGTTTACTTGTACAGGAAGAGGTCTCTGTAGTGATTTCGAGTGACATATTTGTGAAGTGAAAATTTGCAAATTGCTGAAGAGGGTATCAATATGCTACACACACAAGCAAAAAGAAGATAAATACGTGCACACACACAAACACATACAATTTCTGCTTTTGTTTGAAAATGGAAACACTGGCTGTAGAAACAAGAAATTACTACCTATAAGGGGCTAGGTGGAATGGAGAACAAAATATAAGGATGAAATAGAGCATAACTTTGTATGTAATTTTGACTACCATATTACAATGGGTTTAGTTTTGTGCAACCACCACCCTCAAAATAAGATATGTTAAAGTCCTAACTGGCAGTACCTCATGATATGACCTTTTTTGAAAATGTGGTCTTTGCAACTAAAATTAGTTATGTTGACAATAGGTCATACCCAAATAGAGTGGGCCCTTAATGCAATATGACTTGTGTCCTTATAAGAAAATGATGTGGAGCTGCATGGAGAGAATAGCAGGTGAGAGAAGAGATTGGGGTAATGTAGCTGCAAGCCAAGGAGGACCAAGGATTGACAGCCATCACCAGAAGTTAGGAAGAGGCAAGGAAAAATTCCCCTCTACAGGTTTCAGAGAGAGCAAGGCCCCCCTCACAACCTGATTTTGAACTTCCAGCCTCCAGAACTGAAAGACAATACATTTCTGTTGTTTTAAGCCTCCAGGTTCATGGGACATTGTTAAAATACCCTAGGAAACAAATACATATTCCTTGCCAAAGCGTTACATATTTGAAAAAATAAATTCATATTTGCAATTAAAAATAAAATAATGTTTCAATAACAAATGAAAAGAAAATCTTTTATTTCTCTTTACTTTTGAATTATATTGAAAGTATCTTGAAGGTTATAAAGCATTCTCCCACAAAACCATTCACCTCTGGCCAATTTTCTGATTTTGTTTTTAGAAATCTTTTCCTGTGCTCTATTTTAAGTGTAGCAGTATATCTTGTTCTAAGAAAATATCCATTTAAAATTTATTATCAAATAACTGAGAAAAATACCCTTCCATTTTTGCTTTATTTTCTTCATTCCTAAGTAGTGGATAGGTATTTAATTATTTTTTATTTATTTTAGGTTTTGTGATCCACCATGATTAATTTACATGCCTGTTATTCAGGAGGTAGTCTAACTCAGCTTCTCACAGGACCAATGACTTCCTTCCTCCTAACATAATATCTGTGACTTTGCACAGACCACAAAGCCTCCAGGTGCTGGGCAAATGGTTTTCCTTCTCCTCTGCTCTAAATAGACTTCGCTCTATTCAAGAATCTTGTTACTAAAATAATTTGATATTTTTCTCTTGCTAAGACTTCTTATATTTGTCTTATAAGGAGAGAGCTCTCAGTTGGTGAGATCTTTCCAACAAAACTTAGAATCATACACTGCACATCTTTCAGAATACCCCAGCAGCTTTTTTAAAATTTTTATTTTATTTTATTTTATTTTATATTTTATTTTATTTTATTTTATTTTGAGACAGAGTCTCGCTCTGTCACCCAGGCTGGAGTGCAATGGCATGATTGCACTCAACTCATGCAACCTCCACCTCTCAGGTTCACTGCAACCTCCACCTCTCAGGTTCAAGCGATTCTCCTGCCTCAGCCTCCCAAATAGCTGGGATTACAGGCCCCTGCCACCACACGCGGCGAATTTTTGTATTTTTAGTAGAGACGGAGTTTCACCATATTGGCCAGGCTGGTCTCAAACTCCTGACCTTGTGATCCACCCGCCTCTGCCTCCCAAAGTGCTGGGATTACAGGCATGAGCCACTGTGCCCGGCCTACCCTGGCAACTTTTTATAAAATAATGACAAAACACAGATGCATATCTTTTGTTTCCTAAAGCTGAAAAAGCTGACTAAAGCTGACTTTGTAAGTTCTCTTTTCACAGTAAATGCAGTTTTTGGCCTGTACCACATGTAACATTATGGAATTTCTCTCAAGCCCTCATATGTTACAGATGGTGATCATGAAGTGTCTGATGGAACCTAATGTTATTTGGTCAGTAAAGAATTTCAGATTGGTATGTAAAACTGTTTCCTACACAATTATATTGAGCTTTTTGTCAGTATTTCTTTGTTTTTCATGCATTTGGTTGTCCACAATTTTATGAATTACATGTAGTATGATTTAATATTAAACATGAAGTAACATCTTCGGTTTAGAATGTGTAAACTGGTTCCCTTCATGCCACCAAAAAAGGCTGTATCCTTTTTGATTTAAAACTTGCCTGATAATAGTATTATAACCTGTATTGGTTTTGTTTGGTATTCCAAGCTGCATTTTATTTGTTTGAATTTAACAAATATTTCCTTGACCATTCTGTTGCTTTCAAAGTTGTTGAGTCATACTGTATTTAGATGACTGTTTTACTGAGAACATAAAACTGGGTTTTTGTTTCCTAACCAAGAAAAATTGTTCATTTTGGTCCAATTTATTATCCTTCTTATTTATTTCATAACATATAGAGTTGGCAATATATTTTATTTTATTATTCTATTTTAAAAATTATGAGAATTTTCTTTGTCTCTTTTAAATTAATCATTTATTTACCATATTTTATTTTATGGTCTTTAGGTATTTGTTTACCTTCCACTTTTACTTTCCATGTCTCTATTTCTTATAAAATTTGAAAGTGTGTCATATTTTACTTGTATTAGTCCATTCAGGCTGCTATAATAATAATACCATAGATTGGTTAGCTTATAAACAGCAGAAATTGGCTTCCCACAGTTCTGGAGGGTGGGACATCTAAGATGAAGGCACCAGCAATTTTATTGTCCGCGTCCTGTTCATATCATATTCTATCTGTGTCCTTACACAGTGGAAGGGATAAGGCAGTTCTTTGTGCCTCTTAAATAAAATCAATAATCTCATTCACAATAGTTCCACCCTCATGACCTAATAACCTCCCAAAAACTCCACCTTCTTGTACTATCGTACTGGGAGTATGGATTTAAATAAATGAATTTTGAGAGGACACAAACGTTGAGTCAGTCTATAACATTTCTACCTAGGAAGATTATAATTCTACCAAATATATTTTTATTTCCACTTCTTAATGTATCCACTTCAGACTATCATAGAATCTCTTGGTACTCACCCCATAAAATGTGAAGATCGTAGCAAAGTTATGTCATTTCCTTATCTTCCTCTTCCTTGTTCCCACATTTTCATTATTTTATTGGCTGATATAGTATAGGGTATTTGTCTCAATCTATTGATTTTTATGTTACAAAATCTTATTTCAAAATTAGTAAGGATGCATCATTGTGTAACTGTATTTGTAATACACTTGCAGTGTTTTATTTTTTCAAAATATTATTAATTTTAAGATACATGGTTAGACACATAAAGAAAAAAATGGAAAAATGTGCTATTGAACCATATTTTTGTATTCACTGAAGGAGCTCTTTGAGACTCAGTTAAACATATATTTCATAGTAATTACTTTTATATGTATAAAAAAGAAAAATAAAGTGAAATATGGTATGTAAAGCATTCTTAAAACATGTTCCTTCCTATTTAATGAAGGAATCTTTTCAAACTCAAATTGCCCTCGATAGCGTTAGTGAAGCCCGTTTCTTCTTTTATTTTTTATTATACTTTCAGTTCTAGGGTACATGTGCACAATGTGCAGGTTTGTTACATATGTATACATGTGTCATGTTGGTGTGCTGCACCCATTAACTTGTCATTTACATTAGGTATATCTCCTAATGCTTTCCCTCCCCCCTCCCCCCACCCCACGAGAGGCCTCGGTGTGTGATGTTACACTTCCTGGGTCCAAGTGTTCTCATTGTTCAATTCCCACCTATGAGTGAGAACATGCGGTGTTTGTTTTTTTGTTCTTGCGATAGTTTGCTGAGAATGATGGTTTCCAGCTTCATCCATGTCCCTACAAAGGACATGAACTCATCTTTTTTTATGGCTGCATAGTATTCCATGGTGTATATGTGCCACATTTTCTTCATCCAGTCTATTGTTGATGGACATTTGGCTTGGTTTCAAGTCTTTGCTATTGTGACTAGTGCCACAATAAACATACGTGTTCATGTGCTTTTATAGCAGCATAATTTATAATCATTTGGGTATATACCCAGTAATGGGATGGCTGGGTCAAATGGTATTTCTAGTTCTAGATCCTTGAGGAATCGCCACACTGTCTTCCACAATGGTTGAACTAGTTTACAGTCCCATCAACAGTGTAAAAGCATTCTTATTTCTCCACATCCTCTCCAGCACCTGCTGTTTCCTGACTTTTTAATGATTGCCATTCTAACTGGTGTGAGATGGTATCTCACTGTGGTTTCGATTTGCATTTCTCTGATGGCCAGTGATGATGAGCATTTTTTCATGTGTCTGTTGGCTGCATAAATGTCTTCTTTTGAGAAGTGTCTGTTCATATCCTTCACCCACTTGTTGATGGGGTTGTTTGTTTTTTTCTTGTAAATGTGTTTCAGTTCCTTGTAGATTCTGGATATTAGCCCTTTGTCAGATGAGTAGATTGCAAAATTTTCTCCCATTCTGTAGGTTGCTTGTTCACTCTGATGGTAGTTTCTTTTGCTGTGCAGAAGCTCTTTAGTTTAATTAGAACCCATTTGTATATTTTGGCTTTTGTTGCCATGGCTTTTGGTGTTTTAGACATGAAGTCCTTGCCCATGCCTATGTCCTGAATGGTAATGCCTAGGTTTTCTTCTAGGGTTTTTACGGTTTAGGTCTAACAATTAAGTCTTTAATCCATCTTGAATTAATTTTTGTGTAAGGTGTAAGGAAGGGATCCAGTTTCAGCTTTCTATATATAGCTAGCCAGTTTTCCCAGCACCATTTATTAAATAGGGAATCCTTTCCCCATTTCTTGTTTTTGTCAGGTTTGTCAAAGATCAGATGGTTGTAGATGTGTGGTATTATTTTTTAGGGCTCTGTTCTGTTCCACTGGTCTATATCTCTGTTTTGGTACCAGTACCATGCTGTTTTGGTTACTGTAGCCTTGTAGTATAGTTTGAAGTCAGGTAGTGTGATGCCTCCAGCTTTGTTCTTTTGGCTTAGGATTGTCTTGGCAATGCGGGCTCTTTTTTGGTTCCATGTGAACTTTAAAGTAGTTTTTTTCCAATTCTGTGAAGAAAGTCATTGGTAGCTTGATGGGGATGGCATTGAATCTATAAATTACCTTGGGCAGTATGGCCATTTTCACGATATTGATTCTTCCTATCCACGAGCATGGAATGTTCTTCCATTTGTTTGTGTCCTCTTTTATTTCGTTGAGCAGTGGTTTGTAGTTCTCCTTGAAGGGGTCTTTCACATCCCTTGTAAGTTAGATTCCTAGGTATTTTATTCCCTTTAAAGCAATTGTGAATGGGAGTTCAGTCATGATTTGGCTCTCTGTCTGTTGTTGGTGTATAAGAATGCTTGTGATTTTTGCACATTGATTTTGTATCCTGTGACTTTACTCAAGTTGCTTATCAGCTTAAGGAGATTTTGGGCTGAGATGATGGGGTTTTCTAAATATATAATCATGTCATCTGCAAACAGGGACAATTTGACTTCCTCTTTTCCTAATTGAATACCCTTTATTTCTTTCTCCTGCCTGATTGCCCTGGCCAGAACTTCCAACATTATGTTGAATAGGAGTAGTGAGAGAGGACATCCCTGTCTTGTGCCAGTTTTCGAAAGGAATGCTTCCAGTTTTTGCCCATTCAGTATAATATTGGCTGTGGGTTTGTCATAAATAGCACTTATTATTTTGAGATATGTCCCATCAATACCTAATTTATTGAGAGTTTTTAGCATGAAGGGCTGTTGAATTTTGTCAAAGGCCTTTTCTGCATCTATTGAGATAATCATGTGGTTTTTGTCTTTGGTTCTGTTTATATGCTGGATTACATTTATTGATTTGCATATATTGAACCAGCCTTGCATCCCAGGGATGAAGCCCACTTGATCATGGTGGATAAGCTTTTTGATGTGCTGCTGGATCCCATTTCTTTTTAAAAAAAGTGATCAACTCTTATTTTTCATGGTTTCTTTTAAGCCCATTCTGTAAATTTTGGTGCTGTTATTTTGTGATTTAATGAGAATGTGACGAATGAAACATTTTTAGATAACAACCAGAAGTTGTAGTTCTTCAAATTGTCCATAATAAGTCATGAGGGATTGTGGTTATCCAGTCTTGCCATGAGAAGCAGGTAATTCTGCTTGTTGCCAAATGACCAAATTGCTGTGTCACAACTGCTCACCAACTACCAGTTGGTGATATTATTGATCAAAATATATATATTGATTTCTAAGACATTAGAATATAAATAAATGAGCATTTTAGAATCGATGAAATACATAGTTAAATATTTATCTGAAAATTATTTTATACAACGATTTAAATTAAGCACTTTATTTTTAATGAGTAATTTCACATGTAAAATTTTTGGTTTACAATCTTTTTTCCTCCAGTATTTTGAATATATTTTTCCATACCTTCTGGCTTTCATAGTTTCTAATGAGAAGTTACCTATTAATCATTGTCCCCATGTCTGTGATGACTAATTTTTATGTTGGTAATTTCATGTTTTTATATGACTTTAGTTCAGCAGTTTCATTATGAACTCTTTGTACTTATTTTAGTTAGGGCTTTTTGGATTTGTAGATTAATGTTTAATTAAATTTGAGAGTTTTCAGCCATTGTTCTTATACTATATTTTATGGTCTATTTTCTCCATTCTCTACTTCTAACACTCATGTTTCATGTATGTTAGTGTATTGAATGTTTGTCCCACAGGTCCCTCTCTGATAATGTGAAAAACTGGAATGCTCATGTATTGCTAGTGGGAATGCATAATTATACATTAATTTAGCAAAATATTTTTTCAATTTAACTTAAAATGTTAAATATAAACTTCTCATATAGCTTAGCAATTTAGCTACTAACCTTCTACTCAGAATAAATTAAAAGATATTTATAGACACTTGAATGTGAATATTCACAAAAAAATTATTCTGTGATGATAAAAATTCAAACAGTCCAAATGTCTATGAGCTGGCGAATGTATAACAAAAGCTGTACATCATAAAATAGAATACTATTCAGCAACAAAAACGAACAAATAATGATTCATGTTGCAATATGGAAGCATCTTAAAAACTGTATGTGTAGTGAAAATACTAACATGCAAAAGGCTGAATACTGTATGGTTCTGATTATATTAAGGGTCTAGAAAATGCAGATATATAGAGACAGAAAACAGAATTGTGTTTGCCTAAGGATTGGAGTGGAAGTAGTTATTGACTACAAATAAGCTCAAGAGAAATGTTTCAGAGGATGGAAATGGAAATAAGCTCAAGGGAAATGTTTTAGAGGATGGAAATGTTCATAAATTGATTTGTCCTGATGTGGAATAACTCTGTAAATCTACTAAAAGTCATTCAATTGTATGTCCACTCACAGTGGATGAATTTTATATTATATAAATTATACCTTAGAAAGCAGTAAGTAAAAGGAAAGGGGGAAAAAAGAAGAAAAAATAGGAAAATAAAAAATGCTTCTATAAATTACCACATGCCCACTTTATTCTGCATAATTTAAAATGTATTTCAAATAAAATTTACTAAAAGTAGAATAACAATTTCAAATTATACACATTTATAAGTTTTTAGATAATGTCAAATTTTTATGTATAGTAGCTGTAATAATTTTCATTCTTACCAGTTAAAACATAAGAATGACTACTTTTCCAAGCCTGACCATACATTATATGGTCAAACTGACATTTTTAACATTCTCTAGCCATTCCTATATTTATGTAATTTTCATTTGTATTTACCTTACCATAAGTGAGGAAGTGAATCTTTTCATATATTTAAAAACAATTTGCGATTTATTTTCTGTGCAGATTTCATTGCTCTCTCTGATTTTCGTACTTTTTGTCTTTTATTGATTTCAGAAATCTCTTTAAATATAAGAAAATTTAGCAGGTATTTTCCCTACTTTTACATTTATGTTTGACTTTGGACCTAATGTCTTTCATTAAGTGTTCTAGTTTTCATTTCACTCTTGTCTTTTAACTATGTAATCCAATCTTCTCCAGTTTGTTTGCAAATGGCAAACACTTATTGTACAAATTTGTCATTGTTTCTTGGTATTTACAAGGTGGTTTTAACTTTATTTTCACTTTTATATTACTTTTCTGTAGAATTTTTAATACAATGTATTTTGTGATTTTGTGTTTATGCACTTTTGATGGGGACATGAATCTGGTAAATGCCTTTGCCTCCACATAATATAAATAGAGCTCCTAAATCCCTCCCTCCTTGTTTATATTTATTTGATTTTCCTTAGGTCTCAATTTAAAAGGCTTATTTACTTTTATTTTGATGGCTTATCTTAAATTGTTAGGGAGAAATTTTGCCTTTGTTATGCTATAATCTGAGGTTTACTTCTAAATTTCTTTCTGATTTTTCTGGATCTCTATTATTTGTACTTGCTTTGGGAGTTGTCCTCGTCCATTGAAAAGTGCTTCTTTGACAGTGGTAAATTCCAAATTAGGTTCCCTTGTTGAGCTGAGTTAAAGATTTACCCTTCAACTTATTGGATTTTATGGGTGAGTTTATATTTCCCACCTTCTAATTATTTTTTGTTAGAGTGAGAATTAGTTTTCTTTTAAATGTTACCATTCCTGCTAGGAATCCTGGCTATGAGAGAAAAATAATGCTGTTTGGTGAAACCTTACTATTCAATCACTGCTACCCCTTCTCATCTGAGGGAGCATGGCTTCCTAGAAATTAGAAACCTTCCCTGCCACTTACCAGCCACCAAGCAAGCTGTACCTGCTACTCACTACTGTGCACTGTGCTTGAAAGACAAAATGTCTTATGATGATCCCTTATTTGCTTGCTTAATTTGATTAATAGTGTACCATTTTTGGCTGATACACTATTGATATTTCTGTATTATTCTTTGGGGATTTTTCCTCTCTTTTTCACTTCCTCTCTCTAATCTCCCAGAGATTCTGCTCTCACTTTAGTAGAATAAGTCTTTTCATTAGGAAACTACAACTTTACTGGAAAAGGCCTGACTTCCCAGTAGGCTTTAATAACAACAAACCCCCCAAGAAATAAACTTTCTGGATACTACTGTATTTCGCCACACAAAAACATTTTTTACTGCAACTATAGAGCTGGGATAAAAGGGACATTACAATACAGCAAAAACTGTCAGCTATCAATCAGCAGCTCTCTGCAGAAATTGGAAGAAATGTTCTTTGTACTTTTAACCTATTGTGCTCCACTAAATGTATGTTGTAGGAGCAACTATAACGTGCTTTGAAAGAGGGAAGAAAAGCCCAAATGGGTGAAACATAGTTAATTACCAAGAAGAAATATCCAAACTGATAAAAGAGAAATTGAAGAAAAAGTTAGAGATAGTACCTAAAAAATTAACTACAAAATAACCAGCTAACATCATAATGACAGGATCAAATTCACACATAACAATATTAACTTTAAAACTTTCCTATATTATATTTTTATGATCAATATATCTGTTAATTTATCTCCTACTGAGAGAATCTTTTCCTAAGGAACCTCTATTAGGACCTAGGTTTCCTATCACCCCTTGTTCTCTGTAATAGCACCATAAACCTTCCTTGGGAGCACTGATTATACTCTTCAACTCATTAATTAATGCAGTGATTTATTGTTGCTGCTGCTATGTTGCAAACTGGATCACTGAAATGTTTTCACTTTCATATTCGAAGTTGCTATTCTTTCTTTTAGGCTTGCAATATACATTTATTGAATGAAGGAAAGAACATATAATTCATTCCTTCACTCTTGTAAACCCAGAAATTAGGACCCAAGTTATAGCTGAACAAACATGAGAGTAAATACAGTGCAGTGGGTATTTGTTGTTTTTACTACTTTGGCATGCATTGCTGTCCTGTATAACACCTCAGTTTCCTTCGTGAATTTCTACTTCCTCTCTGTGTATGACCTGGGAGAGGCTGTCAGTGACGATTCTCTGCTCTCACATACAGAAAAGAGGCAGATACATAATAGAGAAGCACAAAGCAAGTGCCCATAAAAGAGCCAATTAGCTTCAGCTACCTGGATCTCTGGGGCTAGCTCTCTTTTTGAACATAGTTCTTAAGCTGCCTCTTTGATTATGTGAGCCAGGCTCATATCTTTCCAATAAACTTCTTCTTAACTAAGTTAGATGGAGTCTATTTCTATTGCTTGCAACAAAAGTATTTCAATTTATAATATATGGAGGTATATTTAGTCTTAATATAACACTAAAAAAGTTATTTTGTTTATCAATAGTCTGATTAAACAATTTAATCAGGAATTTAAAAGGAAAAGAAAGAGAATGTAAATAATTGTTCAGTGCCATCTGAGTCAGTTATTTACAGTGTAGTTTTTTCCTAGCAATACAGTCCCAAATATCAAATTATACTCATATTCAACTGTAAATATTAATATATAGTTTCTTTTAAGGCTCAATTACTTTAAATTGAAAACAATAATATTACCTCACTGTAGGCATATTTTGGAGATTACAAGTGATCATGTAAAACACATACATTGATGATTTTTTTAAGAAAAGTACTTAGCACATACTGAGGATTCAGGATGAGCTATCATTGTAAGAGGAGATGGTATAATATTTCTGGCCCTAGTCTTTATATTACCACTTTACCTCTATCTTTTACCTTACCAGCTCCTCCCTTCAAGAAGAGTTGCTACTTGATTGATCAGAGTCTACAGCATTCAATGGGGCTGTAGTTTCTCTGGTGAGACAGATCACTGCATTAAAACAAGGTGTGCCCCCGAGTCTTTCACTGTCTACTTCCTGTACCTTTATCTACTGTCAGAAGGCAAGTGACCAGAAGAGAAAGTCCACCAGTTTGATCATTCAGAGAGAGGGAAAAAGTAGAAAGAAGGAAGACTTGTTTAAGCCTGATAGTCTGAGCAAGACGTTCTCAAACTTTAGAGAAGCACCTGGAGAGCTTATTAGAATGCAGATACCTTAGCTGGTGAGGTAAAAGATAGAGGAAGTAAAGTGGTGATATAAAGACTAGGGCCAGAAATATTATACCATCTCCTCTTATAATGACAGCTCATCCTGAATCTTTAGTATGTGCTAAGTACATTTTAAAAAAAATCATCAATGTGTGTGTTTTACATGATCACTTGTAATCTTCATAGCCATGAAGGAAAACATTTCCCTGCCAATTAAGCTATGAAACAATACTTTCTTATCTCTTACAGCTTTTATTTTAATTTTATTAAAGAATGGTTTTAGGGTAAACACATATTTTTATCATATATTATTTTCATTCAAACATAAAAAGCAAAATATAAATCAAATAGTTATTTAATATGTTTTTATACAATTCCAAACAATTGAAGATTGGACTTCAATTCTCTTTTCCACTCATAGAAATTACAGTCTAAATTTTTCCACACGATGGGCGCCAGTGTGCCGTCCAGAGCACTGGGCCCTACCCTAGCGGTAGGGGCTGCAACTGTGATACAGCGTTTCCTTTTTGGTTTATTTTTTTTTTTCAACTTTTGTTTTAGGGTCAAGGGGTACATATGCAGGTTTATTAAATGTATAAATTGCATTGTTATGGGGATTCGTTGTACAAATAATTTTTTCATGCAAATAATAAGCATAATACCCCAGGTAGTTTTTCAATTCTCACTCTCTCCCACCCTCTATCCTCAAGTAGGCCCTGGTGTCTATTATTTCCTTCTTTGGGTCCATGTGTACTCACTGTTTAGCTCCCAGTTATGAGTGAGAACATGCGATATTTGATTTTCTGTTCCTGTGTTAATTTGCTTAAGATAATGGCCTCCAGCTCCATCCATGTTGCTGCGAAGGATATGATTTTGTTCTTTTTAATGACTGCAAAGTATTCCATGGTATACATGTACCACTTTTTCTTTATCCAATTGATGGGCATATAGGTTGATTCCACATCTTTGCTATTGTGAACAGTGCTGTGATGAACATATGCATTCATGTATCTTTATGGTAGAATGATTTATATCCTTTTTGGTATATACCCAGTAAGGGGATTTTGAGGTCAAATGGTAACTCTGTTTTAAGTTCTTTGAGAAATCTTCAAACTGCTTTCCACAGTGGCTGAACTAATTTGCATTCCCACAAGCAGTATATAAGCTTTTCTTTTTCTCCACAACCTTGTCAGCATGTGATATTTTTTGACTTCTTAATAATAGCCATTCTGACTAGTGTAAGTTTGGTATCTCAGTGTGGTTTTGATTTGCATTTCCCTAATGACTAGTGATATTGAGCATTTTTTTCATATGGTTTTCCTGAAAGAGTGATCCACTGGAGGATTTTACGTTAGAGTATTGACACCCATTCTGGAAGTTTGCTATTGAGGCTTTCTTGATCTTACTACAAAGTATGAATTGGTTTTCTAACAACAACCAGGAATTGCATTCTTTGTTTAAGTGGTATACAAATGTTTCGTTGACTAAAACCTCTTCATGTTTTAGTCAACGAAACATTTATATACCACTTTTTGTGCAATCAGGAACTATAAGGAAGTTTTTTATATAAAAAGCATGAATATTAGGTCAGAATGGCTGCCTGACTGACAGTGATTGTAAGATGCCATAAATTGTAAGATAAATCTCAATTTAAGTAATGTTAAAATATGAAAAGAAACCATGTGTCTTTTTTTTTGTTTGAGACAGAGTCTCATATTGTCACCCAGGCTGGAGTGCAGTGGCGTGACCTCGCCTCACTGCAACCTCCGCCTCCCGGGCTCAAACAATTCTCCTGCCTCAGCCTCCTGAGTAGCTGGGATTACAGGCACCCACTACCGCGCCCGGCTAATTTTTTTTTTTTTTTTTTTTTTTTTTGTATTTTTAGTAGAGGTGGGGTTTCACTATACTGGCCAGGCTGGTCTCAGACTCCTGACCTCGTGATCCACCCACCTCAGCCTCCCAAAATGCTGGGATTACAGATGTGAGCCACTGTGCCAGGCCTCCATATGTCATATTCCTAATAAAATAACAATTTCCCTAATTTTCAGTTTCAGCAGGTCAGTAAGACACCACCACCCATTTCTCCTCTTTTTTGTAGTTATCTGCAAAGCACTGGGTCACTTCTTTCAATTCTTTAGGATTTTAGCACAATTGCTGCCATAAATTCTGATAAATTCAATCTTCATGTAATTTCACTCTCATCCTTCTTTAATTCTTTAGTAATGATCTTATGCTATGATTGACCTCTTACATGAGCTCCCAACTTAATATTAATAAGTGCATTTTATTCCCAATCTTAACTTTAAACATCCCATGCCTCTAACTTCACCTTTTATCTTTCAGTCATGCTTTATAGTATCATATTTCCTACTTTTTGTGTTAATACTTAGATGAACAAGCACTTGTCTCTACTATATCCTTCATTATTGATTTCATACTATCCTCACAAACCTCACATCGCCAATCCTTCCTTATCTAACTTAGGTTTCATTCATATCATTATACTCACTCCCTTGCATAATTCCTCAACTTATTTCCCTCATTCTACCACTGTTTTACTCAGTTTGTATGCTGAGCAACTATGTGGAGTAAACTAACTAATGGCCCACTCTGAACCTGTGCCTGAACAGCTGAAAGTGGCTGGAGAAAAATGCACAACTCTGTGAAAAGTTGGGTTCTTGCTGCCGCCTTTTTCTTCTGCCTTATTGCTTTGCTTTCTCTTTTTCCTTCTTTCCTTTCTCTTGGATTATACTCATTGGCATAAAAACTTACAACATTTTCTATTAAAAAAAACCTCCCTTGACATGCATCCCTTAGAGCTACTGTCCCATTTCTCTGTTCTTTGTGGCTACCGTCCTAAAAAAATATTAATATTCAATATCTCTAATTATTCTTGGAAAAAATGTTTCATTAGAAAGCCTATGTTTCTAGATATTATAAAATGTGTACTCATAAATTGTTGACATGCAACTGATGTAACCACCCAAGAGGTTCACCTTGCATGCTGCCTAGGCAGAGCCGATTTATCAAGACAGGGGAGTGACAGTAAAGAGTAATTCACTCCGATCCTGCTGTATGGGAGACCAGAGTTTTATTATTATTTAAATCAGTCTCCCATAGCATTTGGGGATCAGAGATTTTAAGGACATCTCAATGGGTAGGGGACAGCCAGTGAGCCAGGAGTGCTGATTGGTCAGTGATAAAATCATAGGGAGTCAAAGCTGTCTTCTTGTGCTGAGTCAGTTCCTTGGGGGCCACAAGATCAGATGAGACAGTTTATCAATCTGGGTGGTGCCAGCTGATCCGTCAAGTGCAGGGTCTGCAAAATATCTCAAACACTGATCTTAGGAGCAGTTTAGGGAGGGTCAGAATCGTGTAGCCTCCAGCTGCATGATTCCTAAACCATAATTTCTAATCTTGTACCTAATGTTAGTCCTACAAAGGCAATCTAGACACCAAGCAAGAAGAAGATCTGCTTTGGGAAAGGGCTGTTATCATCTTTGTTTTAAACTATAAACCAAGTTTCTCCTAAAGTTAATTTAGCCTTTGTTCAGGAATGAATAAGAACCACTTGGAGATTAGAAGCAAGATGGAGTCGGTTAAGTCAGATCTCTTTCACTGTCTCAGTCATAATTATGCAAAGGTGGTTTCACTGACAGTTAAAAAGTTCTTACTAGGGTTAAGAGTTAAAATTCTGATTAATATATGGTAATTAAAATGAGATAAGAGGGAAAATGACTCTCTCTATATATATTATATAAGAAAAGTAAAACATGTTTTTGGTAAGGTTATATGAAACATATCAATATTCTTTTTATGCTTTTAATCTTACAACTCTACCAAAAGAGACATAAGAGTCATTTTTTCTTTTAAAATACAAATTTTATTTTTATTTTATTTATCCTCTGATATGGTTGATCACTTGCTTCTCACTTTTAGGGGGACATTTTTATTGATACATAATAGATGCACATATTTTGGGGGGCTCTTTTTAAACTATTTTCTTCATTGAATTCTTCCAATGCATAATTCTTCCCCTGCATCACTTTCCACTTTTTCTAAAAATTTTGTGCTGATGTCTCCCATTTTTCTGACCTTTAAACATAGATTGTTCCGGGTCTATATCTGAGATATTTAATCTAGGCTCACAGTTACAAATATTGTTTCCATTCTGATAATTTCCAAATTTATGTCTCCAGCACAGACTTATCTCCTGAACTCCAGAGATGTATATTCAACTTTATACTCAATATTTCCTAATGCATATATCTAATACTACCTCAAAATTAACATGCCTAAAAATCTCCTTTTCTACTGCTCTGTTTCCCCAAATTGGTTTCTCTTACAGACTTTGTCTCTCAGTTAGTGGCAAATTTATTCTTCCTGTTACCAGGCCCAGGAACTTAGTCATTCTTGACTTCACAAACTTCATCGTATTCTACATCCAATCTACCAGCAAATATCTGTAAAGTCTACATTTACAATATATATAGATTCTGACCACCTCCACTCTTTTATTGCTAACACTCTGGTCTAAATTCACTGCTATTTCTGACAGAGATTATTACAAACCTTTAACTGGCATTTCTCCTTTCACACTTGCTCTTGCATGAGTTTATTCTGTACAATGTAGGAGTATCTAAAGATTAAAGGCTGACATTAATGTTACTGCCTCCAAACTTGCCAAGTATTATCTTGCTTAAAATAGGGGGAAAAATCTTATAAACACCTGCAAGAACTAAATAATCTGACATCCTACCTCACCACCATTCTAAATTGTTTCCTATATCCTTCCTCTTGCTCACTTAGCTCTAACTAAAAATATCTTCTCATAATGTGCAAATTCAGAGCCACCTATATTGCAATAATATTTTTCCCTTAAAACATAATACTGCTTGACCTACATAGCTTATTTTTATTGGCAAAATTAACAAAACAGTTATGACCTGAGAAACCTCAAGCTGAAATTTGTTGTAGATTGGTTCCTCGTTGGTAGACCCTTGAGCTGCATGGAAGAAGGAGATCCAATTCTTCTCTGCAGAATGTCGTATTCAAAATAGATCTCAAAGAATTTCACACAAAGTTTCATTGAACTTTACATCAAAAATCATCACCAGAAAAATCACCACAGAAACAATAGACAACACAACCTTTCCTAAAAAGAATTCAGGTATTGAAATCATCAGATGCAAAATATAATATCTGCATATAAAAAAGTGAAAAGAGGACATTGAAATTATGAGTAGAAACAGATGACTGGAAAAAAATGACCAGGTAGTTTTGACTGAGGACAAAGGGATCTCTTAGAAAAAAAAAAACAATAAAACTAATTAGGGAGAGAGTACCCCTCAATGGAGGAAATATCAGATTGTACAATTACACAAAATACAACACAATTAGATGAAATGAAAAGAATATATAAAAGAAAGGTTAAAATACATAGAAGATGGGGAAGAAGTTCTCTTAGCTAATGGAGATCTAGAAGGAGATAATAGAATGTGGAGAGAGAATATTTAAAGATAGCTTTTTTTTTTTTTTTTTTGAGACAGAGTTTTGCTCTTGTCACTCAGGCTGGAGTGCAATGGCAGGATCTCGGCTCACCACAACCTCTACCTCCCGGGTTCAGCCAGCCTCCTGAGTAGCTGGGATTACAGGCGTGCACCACCAAGCCTGGCTAATTTTGTATTTTTAATAGAGATGGGGTTTCTACATGTTGGTCAGGCTGGTCTCAAACTCCTGACCTCAGGTGATCCACCTGCCTTGGCCTCCCAAAGTACTGGGATTTCGGGCGTGAGACACCACACCCAGCTAAAGATTTTTATAACTGAAAGTAAACAAATTTTCAGAAAAAGGAAATAATACATGTCTAGGAGAAATAAAAGTAAATCCTGTCAAATACATCTCAGAGTGAAAATTTATGAGTCATGTTAAAGAGTTAAAGAAAAGACAACCTATTAGGTGGAAGCATAACAAATTGCCTTTCTTTCTTTTTTCTTTTTTCTTTTTTTAGTAGTTTGAACATAGATAGCTGCAATTTTGTATATGGTTCTGTTAGCGGCAGAATGTATCTGAGTCACCTGGCACCAAAGTATGTTACCAGTGGCGAACACATACAGGTCTGCAACAACGTAAATTCTTGCCTCCTTAGAAGAAAGAATTCCACTGAGGGGCATAAGACAGAAGGAGAGAATGAGGCAAGTTTTAGAGCAGGAGTGAAAGTTTATTAAAAAGCTTTAGAACAGAAATGAAAGGAACTAAAGTAGACTTGGAAGAGGGCCAAACAGGTGACCTGAGAGATCAAGTGCACTGTTTGACCTTTGATTTGGGGCTTTACGCACTAGCATACTTCTTAACAAAACAAGTATGTCTGGAGAAACCTAAAGTTCAAAAGCCAGGATGGAAGCTTTTGTTATGCAAATTGAAATCTTCAAATTACTGAAAGAAAAAATAGAAATAATAATAGAAAAAAATAAAACAGGGGAAAAAGATTTAGCTGATTAAGGTGTGGTACTAGTTTTTTAGATAAAATGCCAAAATCATGATCGAGGAAAGAAAAATGGAATAAATTGGTGTGTATTTGTTTGCTAGGGCTGCCTTAACAAGTTACCACAGATTGGATGATTTAAACATCTGAAATTTATTTTTTTACAGTTCTGGAGGCTGGAAGTCAAAATGTCTGCAATGTTGGCTTTTTGTGGGAGCCAGCAGGGAAGAATGTATTCAAGGTCTCTCTCCTGGATTGTAGATGGCAATATTCTCCCAGTCATCTCACCTCTCTATATGTCTGTGTCCAATTTCCTCTTCATATAAGGACACCAGTCATATTACATTATGTTCTTACTGGTATAAATTGGAACTATGTACTAGGGTTACTCTATAGCTACATTTCCAAGGTTGAAGAAAAAGCAAAAGAGGGTAATTTCTCTATACATATTTTCAAGCAGCTGGTGATCCACAGTCAGGGACCATCAAGGACCAGCAGGGTTGCTTGTGCCTAGCTAGCTGTGAGTGTTTCTATTTTGTGTTACTTCCCTGGGGATGAATGGAGGAAGAAATTTGACCTTTTTTCTGGCAATGATAATGGCATGAGAAGTCCCAGCTTAACATCAAAGTCAATTTGAGAGTAATGTATGCAAGTAATAACACTTCAATTTGTGGCTCTGATGAACCCTCAAATAATGAACAAGGAAATGTTACTGCCTAAGAGAAGAGCAAATCAGGAAACTGGTTTTGACACATTGTCCCAAGCTCTGATCTCTGGCCCTACTTGTAAGGTTTTATGTACAAATAATTGAATGAGGTCTGATGTAAGCTTCTCTATACACTTTTAGCTCTAAAATTTTTTTGGTTACTGCAACACCTGTCTATTGCTGAAGCTCTTACTGATTCTCTTCTGGCAGATACATGGGACTCCTTAACCTTTAATATGGAACAACTAGAACATGGTATCTATAAAGGGAACTTTGAAGTCCTAATATGTTATGTTATAAATTAAGAGATGTAAGAGAGTGTTTATATGACTAGCCCCTAAAATCAGGTTATTGTTGTCCGTCTTCATTACACTCAAAAGAATTGTATGACTTGTTGCAACTCTAGTAGAAAATTAAATGGACAGAATGAAAGTCCTTTATTTCTTTCCCATTGTAGACTAATTTCCCCAGTCTAAGCAGAAGTATCTGAGAGCAGAATGGCACTCTTCACTAACTTAGTAGACCAATCATTCAAATATTGCCGTCTGTTGCCATGTGGTGACTTGTGGAGATGACACACATTTAGCCTTTGAAAAAAGGGCATGTAATTGCATAGCGTGCCATGAAATCCATTTAAATCTGGCAAATGTACTGCAATGCTTTGTTAGCAATTATAAATTCACAGTGGTAGGTGATAGGAACAGAGACAGAAATGGGATGTCAGGAAAAATGAGGATCACTTGCTGGTAACTGTCAAATTAGTTGCCAAAATCTAACAGTTTGAGTTTCATTGTGGTATTAGTGTTATTGCTTAGAAACTAGCAGTTAATTTTTATACCCCTTTGCTATCCTTACCACTGTTCTCATGAAGCAAACAGATTTAGTTTCTAATGCATAGAGTGATACTATCATGAAAAAGGGTATTTCTCTAAAGGCAATTATAGAAAACAAAGTATTTCTTTCTAAGATTATCACATTTTAAACTGCTTCAACAGGAACATAATCAGGAGAGTCAAAACGGAAAATATTTTGCCACTTAAGTGTAACTGTCCAATATATGGCATAGTGAGTGAGTGTGGTGTTCCTGTTTGAAAGACACCAAACAAGTGTCAAACAAGTGGTGGGGCACATAGAAACAGAACTCGTAAGTTCTTGGAAAGTGAGAATGGTAATGCTAACCCAGTAAAAGTATTCATTTTACACTGCCTTTAATTCATAAGTACCATCTTTTTTTTTTTTAGTCAAATATAAGAATGAAGTTAAATTACATGTCTCAAAAACATGGATCATTTTGCCCCACCTGACGTGGGCAAGTTCTATGATTGCTACCCAATTGGGTAGTAGCAAATGAGTTCACTAGGTGAGGCAACATAGTACACTTTAAGTAAATCTCCCAAACACATTTTAAAGCCCAAGAAATTTATATGTAAATATTATTTGTTATGCAATGGTTGGAGAGTACCAGAAAGACTTTTTAAAGATTGTTTTGTTTTTTCTATTTTTCCTAATGCTAAATTCTTACTCAGCTCTCTGTCTTTCCTAAGCACCCTGATGCAGTGCCCATCCACTCCTCCAAAAACTTCCCTCAGAAATAACTACCTAAAAATTACCTCTTATTCCTTTGTACCACCACACATCCTCAACTTTTTCTTTTTCTTTAATTTTGTATTTCAAAATGCCTCCTCCTTTCCAATTCTCTCCCAACATGTTTTTCTATATTTCTTCCTCAAGAATCTGTAGATGATGGCAATAATTGCCAAATGAATAATATATGGAGAAAAATGTGATTAGCTCAAATGCCAGTCTCATTTTTATTGCAAACCAGCAACTTAAATTATATTGAAATAGGCCATTCTTTTACTTCTGGATTTGGAGAAAGTGCATCTTTATTTGGGACTCTGATCAGAAAAGGAGTCTTAGATAGCCTATTATCTAATTTTGAGAGTACATGAAAAATAAATTAGGCATTTTCTCAGTATAGTGAAATCATATTTCAAATGATGCACCTGCAAGACTAGAGTTGATCGTTGAGCTTACATATAAGCATTCTTCTGTAGAATTTTTAGTAATCTTAATGGCAATCCACAATGATGAATTGAAGCTCGTGATGAACTGAAAACAGGATGAGCTCATTAATCATTTTAATACAGTACCTGTCACAGGTAACTTTAGAATTATCTATTTCCTTCTCATATCTGAAAATGCTTAGTTGTTAGATGACTATTGATAAAATGTCATAGTGAAAAAATATCTCAAATTGAAGTATACTTGCTTTGATGTAAGGTACTCGAATTATAAAAGGAGAGCAATGTTTGATATTATATTAACTCTCTTAGATACCAGGAACAAGCCTACATTTATATGAAATTAAAACAAAGACTTGAAATAAATTAGATATGAATAACATTCTTTTTAACAGAATAAAGGAACAACAGCTTAGGTACCGAAGTAGTATGTTGATAACTCCCATTTCTGAATATTAAGACTTGATCTGATTCCCAAATCTGAATTTTAAGCCCTGAGCTCTCATCAGAATTCTAGCCTCATCATCTAGCTGTCTATGCCATCTCTGCAAGGATGCATACTAAGTAGCTCAAACTTAATGTAACCAAAAGGGAGCTTTTACCTTTAGTTTTCTTTTTTTTTTTAATATATATATTTTTATTATACTTTAAGTTCTAGGGTACATGTGAACAATGTGCAGGTTTGTTACATATGTATACATGTGCCATGTTGGTGTGCTGCACCCATTACCTTTAGTTTTCAAATTTGCTTCTGCCTCAGCCTCCCAATTCAGTAAGGATACCACAGTCTATGTTTTAGCTTAAACCAAAAATCATCATTCTAACCATGTGATATGGTTTGGCTCTGTCTCCACCCAAATCTTATCTTGAATTGTAGCTCCCATAATTCCCACATCTTGTGGGAGGGACCCGGTAGGAGATAAATGAATCATGGGGAGTGTTTCCCCCATACTGTTCTCATGGTAGTGAAAAAGTCTCAGGAGATCTAATGATTTTATAACGGGTTTCCCCTTTTGCTTGGCTCTCATTCTCTTCTTGCCTGCTGCCAGGTAAGACATTTCTTGCTCTTCTGCCATGATTGCAAGGCCTCCCCAGCCATGTGGAACTGTGAGTCCACTAAACCCCTTTTTCTTTATGAATTATCCAGTCTCTGGTATGTCTTTATTAGCAGGAAAGAATGGACTAATACACTGCGATTATGTTTGTTTACTCTCTTTTCATTTCCAACCAATAAATAAGTCATGTAGACCCACCTCCAGTATATATCCATGTACTTCTTATCATTCCAACTACAGTTATTTTAATTCAGGTCACCAAGATTGTTTAGCAAGATCATGGTAAGAAGTCACTTCAGTCATCCTCCTGCTTCTCTGTTTGACTTCTGTTTTCCACACTATAATGTAACTAATGGTTTAATGTTGTGTCATACTCTACAGACTTAAAATCCACACATATCCTGGCTCCTGCTAAATGTTCAGAATTCACACTGAACCACTCTCTCCCTTAATTATTGTGTTCCAAAATTACTGGAATTCTTTTGGTTCATTGACTATCACAAGCTTCTTCCCAGATTTAGGTCTTCACAAAACTATTCTCTGCATAGAATACACTTCTATTTGACTTTGGAAAGGTGGCTCCTTCTTGCCATTCAGATCTTTGTTAAATGTCAGTTTACCACAGAATCCTTCCCTGATATCTCAAACTATTGTAGCCACATGAATGATCTCTATCTCATTAGTGTATTTTAATTTTCTACAAAGCACTTACCACTATCTGATATTTTCTGAAATATTTACTTATTTCTGTTGTTTAATGTTCTCTTACTAGAATGTAAGCTCCATTAGAGTATGAAACTTCTTTGTTCACCCTTCTATCCTCGAGGTATACAAGAGCAATTGATGTATATGGGCATTCTGGAAGTATTTACCAAATAAGTTGGTTATTTTAGTGTGCATTTTCAGTTGTATAAGTATCATTACTCTGGTAAATATGAGCCAGGCAGGAAACCATTCAGAAAGATAATAATATAAATGCTGAATATAGTCACCAACATGATGTTTCAGAAATTAGATTCATTTTGTGTCCCATGTTTGACATGAGTTGGAATATTTGCAAGTTCAATCTTATCTTTTTGGATTATAAAAATTTTAACATAAGAATAGTAAATGCATCCATACATTAGAAAACATTATGTTTCATGAAATGATTTAGGTGCTTTACACATGTTAACACGTATAATCTTTGTAACATTCTAATAATATAAATTGTTATTTTATAGATGTAGAAACTAAGACACAGAAATATTAAACAACTGGCCCAAGGTCACATGACTAACAATGAGCAGATTTGGGAGTCAAATCTAGGCAGCCTATATTACTTTTGTTTATAACCTCTGATCTACATTGCCTTTTAACCTTGAAGTACAACTTGTATCATTTGACTGACATTCAACTATCACATATTGACAAGTCATCTTGTTAAAGGCAAAGTTTAAATATTTAAATGGAAAGACAAATATTATCCAGTTATGTTCCACATAGAGCTTTTATTCTTGATGGACTAGCAGAAAAATTAACAATCAGTAAGAATCCAATTACAATGAGTATGAAAAATGTTTGATAAATAGAAGTACATGAGCTAAGTGAAGACATAGTAACACTTAGAAAGGGCACTGGGGATCCATTGTGAAAGGGAATTTGTCAGTCACAGGATCCTGGAAGACCTTATGTTTGAGCTAAATCCAGGAAACTCAGTAGGTGTTACCTCGGATAAGAACAGGCATGTTTGAGGCAGAGGAATGCAGCCGATAGTAAGGCCTAAAATCAGAGTTCAACCTGGCATATGTTTTGTGTTACAGGCATACACTGCATGTTAGTTATTCTCAATGTAACTTATTCTCACTGGCTATCAGTACCATGTGTTCTCATGATAGTCAACCTTCTAATTCCTATGTTCAGTAACTTGCCTAACCTAATGATAACAAAACCAACTATAGGTCATTGCACCAGTAGGCAATGAAAATTATCTAAATAAAAAATTTTAAAACTTGTGCAAATAAGCAAGTTTAAAACACTTAAACAATTAATTTAAGCAATCTAATTAATTTTAAAATCCTACTAAATGGAAACATTATTGTTTCTTAATGAAATTGTTTATGAAAAAACTTTTTTTAGGTTTAAGAGTAACCAATAATATGACAATTAATATCTTCAAGGTAACTTAAATTGAGTTTTAGTAACTCCCCCTCAAGCAACCTCAAGTTGTTTTCTAAACAAATAAATGATAACTGTTGAAATAATAAACATCAAAATAATCACTATAAGCTTCAAAACCATTTTTTACAATTTTAGTCTGTGATATCTGTGAACTACTTTGTAAGAGTGTTCCTAAGAAAAAATAATTCTACCTATCCCAAATTGTCTTTGTGTGTGTGTGTGCATGTTTTTTTGATGAACAATTTTGGAATCAGAAGAGTCAGATATACTATATGTATTTACTTTTATCTAATGCCCTATCATCACAGAGAAACTCTTGGTAGCTACATTAATCAAATAAGATAAAAATAAAAATAATATTGGAATAATTTATGTCTATTAGATTTCAGGAAATCATTAGAATGTTAGATTCTAGTAATAAAAACCTTTAGAATGGTTAATTTCCTCTTGTGCATTAGTTTATTTTCATACACTGATATGTGATTGAAGAAGAAAGTGGAGCAGTTCATCTCTTTACTAATTATTGGTTCATTTATTTTCAAGATAGGAGGATCTATCTAATGATTAACTGCACAACTTTTCAGCAGCTATAGTAGTTGCTAAACACATCCCATCAGAAACTTGAGAGAAAATTTAAAGACATCTATCAAAGTTCCTATTTGGAGTCTAGAGAAACAATAAAGTAGATATTGACTTCTCTTGAGCAATGGATCAGAATTTATTGACCCAAAGCGAGAGTCAATATTTACCTTGGCTCTCACTCTATGGTCAGTAAAATATAAAATTTCAAATGTTATTTCTAATCAAAAATATCTTGAAATCTGTTAAATGATGACATTGTTTAAAAAGCATTTAACAAAATATGTGCATTATATAAAACTAATATATAAAATATATATAACAATATATAACTAATATATAAAATATATATAACAAAATATGTGCATTATATATAACAATATATAACTAATATATAAAATATATATAACAAAATATGTGCATTATATAAAACTAATATATAAAATATTCAAAGTAGAAAAATACTTGTCAATAATAATTTCCCATCAAAAGGAAAACAGCTGTTAATATTTTTCTGTATTTCATGTTAGTAATTTTCCTATAAAAT
Organism: Homo sapiens; assembly: GCF_000001405.40. Lineage (NCBI taxonomy): Eukaryota > Metazoa > Chordata > Mammalia > Primates > Hominidae > Homo > Homo sapiens. The sequence goes on along the minus strand of NC_000012.12, from coordinate 74,476,003 downwards.
TATTTGAGTATGTTTATATATGTGAATTTTGATTCAAAATATGGCAAAAATGAAATATGTAGTTTGTGTTATTCTTCCCAAATACACATTCTTTCTTCCTGTAAAAAGATTTATTGACCCTTGACTTGCTATACCTCATGTGCAATACATATACATCTCCATCCCATTGATGTGTTTGTCCATGAACCTTGGTTTGTCCAGTGGCATGGGGACATACCTACACCTAACACATCCAGCCTTAAGAGCCATTGTATGTCTCTACCATCTGTTTTCTCCCTGCCACAAGACCAACATGTCTCATATAGAGCCTTTTCCTTTGCTGTAGATGCAGAGTAGGAAGACATATAGAAGGGGGAAGCACCAGCTACTCACAGATGTTGACATATAGTGTGTTAAGGAATAAGTCACTGAGATTTTGAGCAGTTGATACTCTACAAAAATGACTAATACACTCATATTATAAACAAATTGTTATATCAGAAACTGTGAGATGAGATTTTATCCTACTTACAAGATAAAAAGTTAGCCTGCCACAATTTTATTTATACATATTGACAGGAAACACTAGGGCCCTTGGTTGGAGACAAAGACTGTTTATTACTTATGGTAGAAACAGAAGCCAAAGCAGTCTCTTCAGTTTATCAAACCCCATTCACCACAAGGGCATGTAATAATGGCCAGATTGTACCTGTGCATGCAGAGAGCTGTACTCCCGTAGAGGTACTCCCAAATTAGGACACTTTGATCTAGTATAGGGTTGCTGATGACCTGCTCAACTTTCCTTCCCTAGAGAAAGAGTGATCTTAGCTTTACTTCAGATTGTAAGCAATTCTTTTTGAAGCAGAAGAGGAAGACTAAATGTCATAGAACGTCAGGGGCATGGGAAGCATACTCTATCTTTATTACATTCCTCTGCCCTCTGATGCAGAAGAAAAAACTATCTCTAGTTTCCAAGAATCTTTTAATAACAAACATTTTTTTAAAAAGATTGTCAGTTCTTTTGGCTCAGGGGAACCAGATCATGCAGAAATGTAAGATATTCAAGGAGGATTGTCTCTCACCACATGTATGCACACCACCTACATGTTTGAATGTAATATTTTATATAATGTATGCATATTTACATTCACATATTCTATATGCATATCCGTGTTTTTACATAATTAAGATCATACTGTTAATCCTATTCATACTGTAGTTTACTCTATGTCACCTAATAAGAGATAATGTACTTTTACCATACATTTATGTATTCTTTGAAAATACAATTTTAATTATTGTTTATCATATCATGGTGTGACAGAATCATATAATACACTAATAATTCTCTATTATTAAATATGTAGTTTGCAAATATTTAATAATGTATAATGCCATAACAATAGATGCTTCATGGAATATGTCTTCACATTCTGTTGATCTTGGAAGTTTGAATAAGAAGGGAAATCAGACATCACTTTTTATGATTATTTTCCCTGACTGAATACTGTTATGACATTTTCCTAATCTGCTCACATAATGAATATATTTTTCATAAGTATACAATGAGTCAGAGATAAATAATATTAGGCATCAAAATCTATGAAAAATTCTTTAAATTTCTATTTCACTAAACTTTATTTCCTTACATGAATCCCTTGAACTGATGACTTTTATTGTCTCACTCTTCCAATAAGATTTAGTGAGTTATAAATCAGTAAAAGATAAGTAGCATATATTAGATATTATGTCATTGAAGAAGAACTAATGATACGTTATCCTTGCCACTCATGGGTAGTGGAAATGTGTAAGCCTAAGTCATAGTTTAGAGTGGTTATTGTACACATTGGTGTTGCTCAGACATCTAGAGACTCATAAGAACTCAGCAGCAATCAACCTGTCAGCCAGCCAAACACATCCTAAGTAGGGTAGCCAGATAAAATGCAGGCCATCTCATGAAACTGGAGCTTCAGGTAAACAACATCTTTTTAAGTATAGGTATTTTTAAATACTGCGTGGGACATGTTTTTAGTAATAAAATGTTTGCTGTTTATCTGAACTTCAAATTTAGCTGAACATTCTCTAATTTTCTTTGATAAATATGGCAACACCAATAATAAGCAAGAAAGTTCAGATGCTATGAATTCACCACAAATTGTTCACAGATAGAAATTTTAGGATATTTTAAATTCACAAACTTAAAATAATTATATTTCTTTTTTGTGTACGTGTCTGAGGCTGATTTATATTTTGGAATGGAATTGGTCAAAATATAACTTGTTCTTAGTCTGACTAGAGGGTTAGCAATTTTCTTAATCTTCCTAATGAACTGGCTTTTTGTTTCAGTGATTTTCCTCTATTGTTTCTCGGATTCCTCTTTTATTGATTTCCACTTTGATCTTCATTATTTTCTTGCTTCTACTTACTGCTTATTTAATTTGCTCTTCTTTTTCTAGTTCATTTCTTTAATGAAAGCTGAAGCCTTTTAAAATTTAAAAATCTTTTACTTTTTCTAATATAGGCAATACATATAGGTGACAAAAATACTTGTTCCACGAGTATTGCTTTAGTGACATTCTACAAGTTTCAATATATTGTGTTTACATTTTCATTCAGTTCAAAATACTTTCTAATTATCCTTTTGATTTCTTTTTTAACCCAGGGTTTATTTAGTTTCCAGATAATGTGGATTTTTATGAGATCTTTCTATTGTTGATTTCTGTTTAAATTCCATTTGAGGTCAAAGACCATAGTTGTTGCTGTTGTTTGTAAGCCTTCTCCAGAAGGCATGTGTTGAAAATTAAAGAACAACGCAGCAAACCCTGACTGGATGAACCCCGACCTGAGAGTCTGGGGATTTCAGATGAGGTTCTGTAACAGTCACTTGGTATGTGACCTTGGGAAGAAAGCCTCTTTTTTCTGGGCCTCAGTCTTCTTATCCATGTAGTGGCACAGTTGGACTACGTGGTCTTCAGAATCAAGATTGTGGGTGCTTTTAACCTATTTCATCAATTCTGTGGTGTGCAAGCTCTATTCCTAGGGAAAGACCGTGATGTTTACAACTTGAATCTTTTTAACTTTGTTGAGACTTAACTTGAGGCCAGAATATGATCACTCTTAGCAAATAGCTCATGTGCACTCAAAAAGCAATATTTATTTTGCTATTGTTAGATTGAGTGTTCTGTAATTATCAACTAGGTCAAGTTGGTTGATTGTGTTGCTCAAGTTTTCTACATCCTTACTGATTTTCTGTCTTCTTGTCCTGTTAAAGTAATGATTGAAAATAGATACAAATATTAAAATCTTTGACTACATAATTATGTGTTTATTTCTCCTTGCACTTCTATTAGTTTTAGCTTCATGTATTTTGAAACTCATTAATAGGGATAGACTAATTTATGATTTCTATATTCTCTTAATGAACTGACATTTTTATTATTATGAAAAGATCTTTTGTGTCCCTGGTAAAATACCTTGCTCTGAATTTGATTTTGTCTCTGTGCTTCTCTCTCATTTCACAAACTATGTCCTATGAACGTTAGCTGCCTTGTTTCCTCTGGGCTCTCAGGTCTACCTCTTTTTTATTTTAATAATTATTTATTTATTTATTTAAGTTCTGGGGTACATATGCAGGATGTGCAGGTTTGTTATATAGGTAAACGTGTGCCATGGTGGTTTGCTGCACCTATCAACCCATCACTTAGGTATTAAGCCCAGGATGCATTAGCTCTTCTCCCTAGTGCTTTCTCTCCTGCCCTCCCCCAACAGGCCTCGGTAAGTGTTGTTCCCTCCCTGTATCCATGTGTTCTCATTGTTCAGCTCCCACTTATGAGTGAGAATATGCAATATTTGGTTTTCTGTTCCTGCATTAGTTTGCTGAAGATAATGGCTTCCAGCTTCATCCATGTCCCTGCAAAGGACATTTTCTCATTCCTTCTTATGGTTGCATAGTATTCCATGGTGTATATGTACCATATTTTCTTTATTCAGTCTATCATTGATGGGCATTGGGGTTGAGTCCGTGTCTTTGTTATTTTGAACAGTGCTGCAATGAACATACTCTTGTATGTATCTTTATAATAGAGTGACTTATATTCCTTTGGGTATATATCCACTAATGGGATTGCTGGGTCAAATGGTATTTCCAATTCTAAATCTTTGAGGAAATACCACACTGTCTTCCACAACGGTTGAACTAATTTAAATTCCCGTCAACAGCGTAAAAGCATTCCTATTTCTCCACAACCTTGCCAGCATCTGCTGTTTCTTGACTTTTTAATAATCACAATTCTGACTGGCATAAGATGGTATCTCACTGTAGTTTTCATTTGCATTTCTCTAATGATCAGTGAGGTTGAGCTTTTTTTTTCATGGCTGCATGTATGTCTTTTTGAGAAATGTTTGTTCATATCCTTTGCCCACTTTTTAGTGGTTTTTTTTGTCTTGTAAATTTGCTTAATTCCTTGTAGATTCTGGATAGTAGACCATTGACAGATGGATAGATTGCAAAACATTTCTCTCATTCTGTAGGTATCTGTTCATTCTGATGATAGTTTTGTTTGCTGTGCAGAAGATCTTTAGTTTAATTTGATCTCATTTGTCAATTTTTGCTTCTGTTGCTATTGCTTTTGGCGATTTCATCATAAAGCCTTTGCCCACACCTGTGTCCTGAATGGTATTGGCGAGATTTTCTCCTAGGGTTTTTATATTTTTGGATTTTACATTTAAGTCATTAATCCATCTTGAGTTAATTTTTGCATAAGGCATAAGGAAGGGATCCAGTTTCAATTTTCTGCATATGGCCAGCCAGTTTTCCCAACACTATTAAATAGTGAATCCTTCCCCTTTGCTTGTTTTTGTCAGGCTTATCGGAGATCAGATGTTTGTAGATGTGCAGTTTTATTTATGAGTTCTCTACTCTGTTCCATTTGTTTATGTGTCTGCTTTTGTACCAGTACTGTGCTGTTTTGGTTACTGTAGCGTTGTAGTACAGTTTGAAGTCAGGTAGCATGATGCCTCCAGCTTTGTCCTTTTTGCTTAGGATGGTCTTGGCTATTTGGGCTCTTTATTGGTTCCATATAAATTTTAAAATAGTTTTTTCTAATTCTGTGAAGAACGTCAATGGTAGTTTAATGGGAATAGCATTAAATCTATAAATCACTTTGGGCAGTATGGCCATTTTCACGATATTGTTTCTTTCTATCCGTGAGCATGGAATGTTTTTCTATATGCTTGTGTCCTCTCTGATTTCTTTGAGCAATGGTTTGTAGTTCTCCTTGAAGAGGTCCTTTACTTCCCTTGTTAGCTATATTCCTAGGTATTTTATTCTCTCTGTGGCAATTGTGAATAGGAGTTCATTCATGATTCGGCTTTCTGCTTGTTTGTTGTTAGTGTATAGGAATGCTTGTGACTTCTGCACATTGATTTTGTATCTTGAGACTCTGCTGAAGTTGCTTATCAGCTTAAGAAGCTTTTGGGCTGAGTCGATGAGGTTTTCTAGATATAGGAGCATGTCATCTGCAAACAAAGACAATTTGACTTCCTGTCTTCCTATTTGAATACCCTTTATTTATTTCTCCTGCCTGATTGCTCTGGCCAGAACTTCCAACACTATGTTGAATAAGAGTGATAAGAGAGGGCATCATTGTCTTGTGCCAGTTTTCAAGAGGAATGCCTCCAGCTTTTGGCCATTCAGTATGATATCGGCTGTGGGTTTGTCACAAATGTCTCTTATTTTGTTGTATGTTCCATCAATACCTAGTTCATTGAGAGTTTTTAACATGAAGGGATGTTGAATTTTATTGAAGGCCATTTCTGTGTCTATTGAGATAACCATGTGGTTTTTGTCTTTAGTTCTGTTTATGTGATGAATTGTGTTTATTGATTTGTATATGTTGAATCAGCCTTGCATCCCGGGGATGAAGCCAACTTGATCGTGGTGAATAAGCTTTTTGATGTACTGCTGGATTCAGTTTGCCAGTGTTTTATTGAGTATGCTTGCATTGATTTTCATCAGGGATATTGGCCTGAAGTTGTATCTCTGCCAGGTTTTGGTTTCAGGAAGATGCTGGCTTGAGTTAGAGAGGAGTCCCTCCTTTTCAATTGTTAGGAATACTTTCGGAAGAAATGATACCAGCTTCTCTTTGTTCTTCTGGTAGAATACAGCTGTAAATCCATGTGGTACAGGGCTTTTTTTGGTTGATAGGCTATTTTTTACTGCCTCAATTTCAGAGCTTGTTACTGACCTACTCAGGGATTCACTTTCTTCCTGGTTCAGTCCTAGGAGAATGTATGTGTCCAGGAATTTATCCATTTCTTCTAGATTTTCCAGTTTATTTGCATAAAGATGTTTACAGTATTCCCTAATGGTTGTTTGTATTTCTGTGGAGTCAATGGTGGTATCCCCCTTATTGTTTCTGATTGTGTTTGTTTGAATCTTCTCTCTTTTCTTTTTTATTAGTCTTGCTAGTGGTCTATTTTACAGATTTTTTTCAAAAAAACCACTCTTGGATTTGTTTATTTTTCGAAGGGCTTTTCTTGTCTCTATCTTCTTCAGTTCCGTTCTGAGCTTGATTAATTCTTGCTTGAAATTTCCACTGCCAGCACAACAGTCTGAAATCTGTGTGGGATGACCGACTTCCCCGGGGTAGGGGTGACCACCATTACTGTGGCTTTAATAGGTGGTTTTCCCTTGACAGTGCTAAGGACCCTGAGAGGTTTGGACTGGGTGAAATTCTCCACAGTGCAGTAAATCGGCTGTGGCACATAGTGGCCAGACTGCTTCCTTAGATCCCTCCTCACTGGGCAGGGCATCCCTGCAGGAAGTCCAGCACCTCCAGTTAGGGGTTTATAGACAGAACTCTCATCTCCCTGGGGCAGAGCACCTGGGGAGAGGGGCGGCCAGTCTCAAGTTCAGTGAATTTAATCTTTCTTGCCTGCTAGCTCTGAAGAGATTGGCTGATCCTGATGAGTGGGATTCCCCCAGCACAGCCAACAGCATTGCTAAGGGACAGACTGCCTCCTCAAGCAGGTCTCTGACCCCATGCCTCCTGATTGGGTGAGACCTCCCATCAGGGGTCACCAGACACCTCGTACAGGAGACCTCTGGCTGGCATCAGGTCAGTGCTCTTCTGGGATGAAGCTACCGGAGGAAGAAACAGGCAGCAATCTTTGCTGTTCTGCAGCCTCCACAGGTGATACTTAGGCAAAAGGATCTGGAGTGGACCCCCAGCAAACTCCAGCAGACCTGCAGAAGAGAGGCCTGACTGTTAGAAGAAAAATAAACAGAAAGCAACAACAGCAATGGCAACAAAAAACAGATCCCACAAAAAGCCCATCCAAAGGTCATTAGCCTCAAAGATCAAAGGTAGATAAATCCACAAAGTTGAAGAAAAACCAACACAAATACGCTGAAAACCCAAAAGCTAGATGGCTCTTCTCCTCCGAATGATTGCAACACATCTCCAGCAAGGGCACAGAACAGGCTGAAGCTGAAATGGATGAACCGACAGAAGTAGGCGTCAGAAAGTGGGTAATGACAAATTTTGCTGAGCTAAAGGATTATGTTGTAACCCAATGCAAAGAAGCTAAAAACCATAATAAAAGATTACAGTAGCTGTTAACTAGAATAACCAGTTTAGAGAGGAACATAAATGACCTGATGGAGCAGAAAAATTCAGCACAAGACGTTCACGATGCAAACACAAGTATCAATAGCCGAATTGACCAAGCGGAAGAGAGAATATCAGAGCTTGAAGACTATGTTGATGAAATAAGGCAGGCAGACTAGATTAGAGAAAAAAGAATGAAAAAGAATGAACAAAACCTCCGAGAACTACGGGACCAGGTAAAAAGACCGAACCTACCATTGATTGGAGACCTGAAAGAGATGGGGAGAATGGAACCAAGTTGGAGAACACATGACAGGATATCATTCAGGAGAACTTCCCCAACCTAGCAAGTCAGGCCAACATTCAAATTCAGGAAATCCAGAGAACCTCAATAAGATACTCCACAAGAAGATCTACCTGAAGACACATAATCATCAGATTCTCTAAGGTCAAAATGAAGAAAAATATGTGAAGGGCAGCCACAGATAAAGGTCAGGTCACCTATAAAGGGAAGCCCATCAGACTAACATTGGACCTCTCAGCAGAAACCCTAGAAGCCAGAAGAGTTTGGGGGCCAATAGTCAACATTCTTGAAGAAAAGAAATTCCAAAGCAGAATTTCGTATCTGGCCAAACTAAGCTTCATAAGTGAAGGAGAAATAAAATCTTTCTCAGACAAGCAAATGCTGAGGGATTTCATCACCACCAGAACTGCCTTGCAAGAGCTCCTGAAGGAAGCACTAAACATAGATAGGAGAAACCATTACCAGCCACTAAAAAACACACAGAGGTACACAGACCAACAACACTATAAAGCAACTACATTAACAACTCTGCAAAATTAACCAGCCAGCATCATGATGACAGGATAAAATTCACACATAACAATATTAAACTTAAATGTAAATGGGCTAAATGCTCCAATTAAAAGACACAGAATGGCAAGCTGGATACAAAGACAAGACCCACTGGCGTACTGTATTCAAGAGACACAGCTCATGTGCAAAGACACACATAGACTCAAAATAAAGGGATGGAGGAAAATTTACCAAGCAAATGGAAAGCAGAAAAAAAGCAGTTTCAATCCTAGTTTTGGACAAAATAGACGTTAAACCAACAAAAGTCAAAAAAGACAAAGAAGGGCATTACATAATGTTAAAGGGTTCAATTCAACAAGAAGAGCAAACTATCCCAAATATATATGCACCCAATTCAGGAGCACCCAGACACATAAAACAAGTTTTTAGAGACCTACAAAGAGGCTTAGACCCCTACACAATAATAGCAGAAGACTTTAATACCCCACTGTCAGTATTGGACAGATCATAAAGGCAGAAAATTAACAAAGATATTCAGGACTTGAACTCAGCTGCAGACCAAGTAAACCTGATAGATATCAACAGAACTCTCCACCCCAAAACAACAGAATATACATTTTTTTCGGAACCATGTGGCACTTACTCTAAAGTTGGTCACACAGTTGGGAGCAAAACACTCATCAGTAAATGAAAAAGAACTGAAATCATAACAAAACAGTCTCACAGACCACAGCACAATCAAATAAGATCTCAAGGTTAAAAAGCCCACTAAAAACCACACAACTACATGTAAATTGAACAACCAGCACCTGAATGACTTCTGAGTAAATAGTGAAATTAAGGCAGAAATCAAGAAGTTCTTTGAAATCAATGAGAACACAGAGACAACATATCAGAATCTCTGGGACGCGGCTAAAACAGTGTTAAGAGGGAAATTTATAGCTCTAAATGCCCACATCAAAAAGCTGAAAAGATCTCAAATTGACACCCTAACATTACAATTCAAAGAACTAGAGGACCTAGAGCAAACAAACCCCTGAGCTAACAGAGGTCTACCTCTTTAATTCAGGTTTGCTTTGTCTGGGTTTCCCTGCTCTGCTTCACAGCACTGGACTCTCTCAAGGCATTAACTTGGAGCAATAAAGAGCTCAACTTCTTTCACCTCCTCTCCCATTTTGCTGAATCGCTATCTGATGTCCAGTCTCTTGAAAAACTATTGTTTCATATATTTTTTTTCCAGTATTTTGGTTGTTTCAGGGAAAAGAGGGTAGAAACAGAAGGCATCTCTGAAAAGTTATTATATTGCTGATTTGATTTCTAAATAGTTATGAAACCACAATATTTCCCCAATTTCTCCTGAGCATTTTATTAAGTCGTGCTTTTCTGAGATTTTACTGCTTTAAAATTTATTGTTACAAAGTTGTTCATAATATCCTTTTATCTTTTTAGTGTCTACAGGATATAGAGTGTGCCAACTTTTTCTCTGTTCTAGTATGCTAATTTTTTTCTATTTTATTTTTCATATGAATCTTATACAAGTTTATCATTTTTGTTGTCTTTTTCAAAGAACTAATTTTGGGCTTGCTGTCCATTTTATTAAATTTCTGCCATTCTCATTTTATCTTCTTTCTACTTTTCTTGGGATTAATCTTTTTATCTGTTTTTATTTATGAAAGATGGATCCATCAATCATCAGTTCTTTTTTTTAATAAGTACATATGGAAGTTTTCAGCCTACAAGATATATATTATAATGCATCCAGAAGGATACAGGGAGACATCTTATATTAAACACACTAATATTTCTGCATGTAAACATAAGTATTACATTAGTATAAATTAAGACTTTAGATAACCTCACTTCAGTTCAGGCAAGATTTCCTCACCAAATGAGTTATGAAAATCTTTAGTTTCAAAGCATTTTGGTGTTGGAATTGTAGCTTAATTGTTCTGAACTTGTATTAAAAATTATTTTTTAAGACTAAATATAATTAGTTGAACATTTATATAATGATGTTAAAAGTCGTATAATTGCTCCTCAAAAATGTGAAAAAACTAATAATTCCAAAAGTTGATTTCTTTGGCAAAATCAATAAAATGACTAAAAATATTGTTAGGTTTATAAAGAAAAAGAATAGATGGCACCAGTGACTATTGACTGCTCTTGGCCAAGAATAGCCAGGGCCTTTCTGAAGAGGATGAACATAGGCAGGAAATATTTTCTAACAGATACTGAGATTTGGTAAAAACTTTAGCAAATAAAGAATCAAATAACTTGAAATAAAAAAAGTAAGAAAAGATAGAGAGCCCAGAAATAAACTATAATTTTTATATAGTTGTAGGTAGCTTTTCTATAGTTTCTTTATAATTTTTATATAAAAATTTTATGTATGACAGAGGTGTCTTTGCAGGTCACTAAAAAATGGTAAATTATTCATAAAGTGTTTGATACAAATGGTTATCCATATGGAAAAAAGACATACTAAATAGATTCCTAATTTACAATGTCTATCAATTTCTGTTGCCTTTAGAATGGTAGCATTTTAAAATATTTTGAATGATTTATCAGATAATATATTTATAATCTAGGATTAGAAATGCTTTTTTAGATAGGACATGCATTTTGCAAAACATAAAAAAAATTGATAAATTCTACTATCTCAAAATTAAAAATGTTTATTAATCAAAGGCACCATAAAGAAAGTACAATAAAAGCCACTTTCTCAGAGAAGGTATTTTGCATATATATAACTGTAAAGGAATAAGTGTATTCTAAACATTTTAAGACTTTATGTATGTGCGTGTATGTTTATATATATATATTTCTATAAAGGTAAATTTGTAAAGGCAAATCTGATAGAAAACTGAGCAAAATAAATGGTCATTTTACAGAAGAGAAAGGTCAAATATCAAATAAACATATGAAAAGATGTTAAACATTTTCAGTAATTAGTGAAATACAAGTTAAGAACTCAATCAGATACAAGCTTACTCTCACTCTGTCAGCAAAAATCATAACTGAAGTTACCACATATTGAAGAGAATGTGTATCAGTGGGGCAATTGGAATGCTTACTATTTTGGTTGGAGCATATTGGTACAATAGCTTTAATAAACAAATCAGTGCTTATTTCCTAATGTTTTTATTTTAGTAAAATACATATAACATATACTTTACCATCATAATCATTTTTAATTGTAGAATTCAGTGGTATTAAGTACATTCATAGTGTTGTGCACCCATTACCACCATCCATCTCCATAACTTTTCATCTTGTAAAGCTAAAACTATTGGTACTTTATTTATAGCTGAAAACACGGACACTCCATTACTTAACAAGTTTACTACTAGTTATATACTAGAGAGTTTATGTACTTCTGTACTAGAAGACTAGAAGATAGCACACCCGCATGTGCTTTCACAGGAAAATGGAGAGGCAGACTATTGAACAGTTCTACAAAACTATTATGCAGCTACACATTAAAACACAGATCAATCTTCTACATATGATAACTGCAAGAAAACAACCTGGAACATGAAGGGAAAATAGAAGAAAGAAGAAAATAATGGATAATTATTTACATTAAGCTGCATATTTATGAAGCTCACACACATATGCAAAACAGTACTTTGTTTAGGAATGCTTATGTTTTATAGTGATAAAGATAAAATTCAGGAAGAAATTATCTGTAGGGAAAGAAAGCATAGAAATATGAACATGCAGATAGTGAGTTAACAGCTGTTTATTCTATCATGTTTTATAACTTACATTAGTATTATATTATTGCCTCTTTTATAGTGTGTGCTCAATACATTTTTATAAAACCCATAATATATAGTTTTAATTAATTTAATATTATAATTTAGTAAGTTGAAGAAAATATATTCAACATTAATAACATTTTAAAAACAGTAGTGAATATTATTTATAATTTTTGTAAGATTTTTGTGTTATTTCTTTAGGATGCAGCACCTAGAAATTGACATATTAAATTTGAATATTTTATAATTTTTTACATAAATTGCCAAATATTTACTCAGTAGTTGTTCCAGTATTTCTATCTACCTGAAATATGTGATTCATGCATCAATACTGTGTATTTTCACTTAACAATATATTTTGCTAAGTTAATTACCAAAAATAATATTCTAATGTAAAATATTTACTTTTTTGCTTGTTAATGAGTTTGATCATTTTTATTTACAGTAAATATGAGTTTATGTTTCTTAATAATTTATATAAATATTTTACAATAGAAATAATAAACTCAAATTCATAGTCATTGCAAGCAACATCCATTTTGCTGCCTTTTATTTTTTAAGTACAGGGGTTTTTAATGCTCAGATTTTTTTGTTTTAATATTAGAAAACTATCCATCCTTTAACATTTAAAAATCAATAATACATTAGCTTCTAATTTTAGTGTGTACTTTTACATTTAATTCTTTTATCTCTATGGAAATTATTTGAAGAGTGCAAGTTACATTTATTTTTCTTTATCTTAACTGGTCTCCTAACACATGTATGTTTCTCTTTATCATCACAATGACATGTGAGGTTTCCTTTGTCAGTTGTCACATTTCATTTTTGTGACACTTCTATTTATTAGTCTTACACTTTCTTCATTATTAGTGGTTATAATATGGTTTAATATTCACAATGTTAACCATGATTAGGTTGAAAATCCTTAATCTGAAATGTTCCAAAATATGAAAATTTGAGCACTGACATTATTCCATAAGTGGAAAATTTCAGGGCTGAGCTCATATCACAGTCAAAACACAGATGCATGACACAGTTTATTCAGAATCCCTCAGAGAAAAATAAAATTACCTTCAGGCTATGTGCATAAGGAGTATATGAAACATAAATGAAACTCATGTTTAGGCTTGAATCCTATCCCCAAAATATTTCATTGTGTATATAAAAAAATCTCCAAATAAAAAAAAAACAAATTTGAAACACTTTTGGTCTCAAACATTTCAAATAAGGAATACGCAACCTGTAATGCTATTTTAGCAGCTTTTAAATAGTGTAATATTTTTCTTCCTTTTCAGAAATACTGTATGAATTTTGATTCACATTTATAGAATATTAATTCTTCAAGAGTTATTTCTTTAAATAATTTAACATTCTCTTTTAGACATTTGGCATTTCTTCACATTTTTTAATACCTTTTAAAAACTTTTGTGGTTTTCTTCTCATGTATTATAGATGTATCTCTTTTTTAGAAATTTATTGGCCTTTTATATTATGTTACTATTGTGAATGAGGTTTATTTTTTATTTTTTATTTTATTTTATTTTTTTTTGAGACAGAGTCTCACTCCATTGCCCAGGCTAGAGTGCAATGTTGCAGTCTTGGCTCACTGCAACCTCCGCCTCCTGGGTTCAAGCGATTCTCCTGCCTCAGCCTCCCAAGTAGCTGGGACTACAGGTGCGTGCCACCACACTTGGCTAATTTTTGTATTTTTTTTTTTTTTATTTGAGACGGAGTCTCGCTCTGTTGCCCAGGCTGGAGTGCAGTGGCAGGATCTCAGCTCACTGCAAGCTTCGTCTCCTGGGTTCATGCCATTCTCCTGCCTCAGCCTCCCAAGTAGTTGGGACTACAGGCACCCACCACCACACCCTGCTAATTTTTTGTATTTTTAGTAGAGACGGGATTTCACCTTGTTAGCCAGGATGGTCTCGATCTCCTGACCTTGTGATCCGCCCACCTCGGCCTCCCAAAGTGCTGGGATTACAGGCGTGAGCCACCAGGCCTGGCCTAATTTTTGTATTTTTAGTAGAGGCAGGGTTCCAACAGTGAAACCAAGGCCAGCCTGGTCTTAAACAACTGACCTCATGATCTGCCTGCCTTGGCCTCCCAAACTGCTGAGATTACAGGCGTGAGTCACCGTGCCCATCCAAGGTTTATTTTTAATTAAGTTTTTATAAAATAAATTTACTAAATGGTAAGAATTGCTCCTTCTACCATAAAAGCTTTTTAAGAAAACCCTGAAAACAGATTTTTTTTTCTTTGTTAGTCTTTCAGCAAAGAACTGTTTGAAGGCACAGTGTTGAGATTCAAAGATTGTACTCAACTGTCTCATGGATATTAAGGATGTTGGCAAGTTTCTAACTGTAGATTTGTATGTATTAGGAATTAAAACTGAAAATGGAATACTTGGTAAAATTTCAGCAATAATTATATTGAAACTATGCTATCTGGGAGGCCCAGCTGTGTTAAAAAAGAGGCAAGGGGCAGGAGCAAGGGGAGAAAAGGAAGATGGGTCCATCTTCAGCATTTCACCCGGAACAACACAGATTTATTCTATTTCTATTTGATGCCTTCACATAAGATATTTAACATTCTATTTAAGAACCATTGTCCCTACAAAAAGCAGATGCTCAACAAATGCTAATTTATCTTACTAGGCTTTATAATATCCAATATCAATATTCAATATTGACAACAATCAAGTTTTGGATATCTTAGCACTGCCCTCCCACACCCCCCATCCACATCCCTCCACACATACCAAGTTTGGGCTCAGTGTCAATATCATCACAAAATGAAGTTCAAACTTGAATGACCTGATGGCATATATTTATAGACTTATTGAAAGACCTTGAAGGATTCTCAAGCTTCAAATATGTAGAGTAAGGAAGCCTCATCATTACATAATGTATTTTAATGGCAGCAAAACAAGGCCAAGAGCCAAACTAGTTGTGACCAAAGTCACCAGAAAGAAGGTTGTTCATGACACTAACCAAGACTCTTAGGTCAAAAAAGAGCCAGGCTCCTTTATATTTTTAGAAAATTTTTATATACTTAAAAAAAGAGAAATGACAATTTAGGATTAAAAAGATATTTTCTTACAAAAGAAATTCTTTCTTTTAATAATATGTTTACATATTTTACATGCATACAAACACAGACACATGCTACATTGACTGTGTTAATTAGAAATCATAAGCATAAATTTGAGATCTGTTAAAAATGTGAACACAGACTGTGATGGCTAATTTTAGGTGTCAACTTGACTGGATCAAGAAATAGTTAATGAGTAAAGCATTATATCTGGATAGATCTGTGAGGGTGTTTCTAGAAGACATTGGCATTTAAATCGGTGAGCTGAGTAAAGAAGATCTGTCCTCAACGTCGTCAGGCATCATCTAATCAGCTGACAGCTCAGCTAGAACAAAAAGGCAGAGGAAAGGTGAATTTGCTCTCTCTAGTGGAGCTGGAGAACTCTTCTTCTCCTGCCGTTGAACATTAGAACTCCAGGTTCTGAAGTATTTGAATTGTTGAATTTGCACAAGCAGGCCCTCAGATTCTCAGGCCTTCAGCTTAAAACTGAGAGTTAAACCCTTAGCTTTCTTGGTTCTGAGACTTTCAGACTTAGCTAAGCAACTGACTTCTCTGGGTCTCCAGCTTGCAGATGGCCAGCTGTGGGACTTCTCAACCTCCACAATCACTTGAGTCAATTCCTTAATAAAGCCCCTCTCATATGTGTGTCTATTCTATCTATGTGTATTCTGTTGGATCTCTCGCTCTCTGAAAAACACAAGACAGACTCTCCACTCATCTTCAAAAACAGATCCTGATTGTAATTTTTAAAGAAAGATATAGGTCAGATAATATCCTAACAGGATCTCCACTGTGATCCAGTTTCTTTAAAATCCAGTAAGTTTTATGCTACTTTTAGACAATCTTTTATTTTTAGCTCATTTCATGCTGTTTGAAGGGAACAGGGGTAAGGCATTTCTCAACATTTCCATTGATTTCACCATTGACCTCAGCTTCTTTACTTTTGAAGAATGTGTAATGGGTTTCTACTAATCAAATGCACCTTTTTTGTATGTTTTGATTATGATTCCTTTATTTCACAAGTGTTCATCTGTCTTATGCATAAAACTTGAGGCATAGGTGACTCCCGATAAAATATCTGCCCTTAAGAGATCCAAATATATGGATTTTAGAATGTAGAATTTAGATGGGGACACAGATAAAGAATATGGTTAATTTCAAGGAGCATTAAGTGATTTTTCTTTTTTACATTTTGGCCCAAAGTTTCATAGAGATTTTTTCTTTCACTTTGGAGCTTTCTTTTTCTCAGAGAGTTCTCAAATTAGTTGACAAAGAACAGGGTAAGGGCCTGGGCTGGATGTTTTTATTGAAAATCTGTATACATTATTTTCACTCCCTTGTTTGTAAGCCTGTCTGAACGTCACTGGGGCTAGAAGACAAAAAAGCTATCTTTTCTGGATTTACTTGCCTTTAGTGTTCTGGACTCAATTTACCTTCTGCCAATGCCTTGCACTAACAGAAGATTTGGAACACAAAAATAAATCAGAGGTCATTCTTTCTCTAGCAACAGCAGTGGATAATGCTATTGCAGGCTTTAGCTGACAAAAGTTTTTGTAATGGCTAACCAGACTCTAAGTTTGATTTTTAGTCACTAACTGCAAAACTGATGATCAGCTATGACTCTGACAGCAGATTCTTGAACATCCCTGAATTCTGGATGACAGAAACACGTTCTTGACCATTCAAGCAAAATTTTCTGTGACACCACCTCTATTTTCACACTCCCAGCTTTTCTAACAAAATTATAAATGCCTGATTTTCTCTAGTAAATATTTTCATGCCTGAAATAGCAAAAATTGTTCTTATTTTCTTAAAATGAACACTGCCAGAGAGAAGTCCTGTGTAGCATAAATCCTTTTTGCATACTATGTAGCAGACATTTTTATTCATGCTTTAAATATATTAACATATTCTTTCCTAGCAACAAGTCAACAAAGTAGTCAATTATATCACTCCCATTTAACAGGCAAGGAAACTGAGGCACAGAAATGCTTAGTGATTTTTTTCCTGATACACACAGCAGTTAAGTGGTGGAACCTGGATTCAAACCAGGCAGTCTGGTTAAAGGGATTGCCTGAATTACCCTGTTTCTCAGTCTAAGAGAACTAATATTTATCTATCGCATTTACCTAAGGGAAATGTCAAGAGTCATATATATATACATGTTTTTTTTTTTCTTGAGATGGAGTCTTGCTCTGTTGCCCAGGCTGGAGTGCAGTGGCGTGATCTCAGCTCACTGCAAGCCTCACCTCCCAGGTTCATGCCATTCTCCTGCCTCAGCCTCCCAAGTAGCTGGGACTACAGGAGCCCACCACCACACCTGGCTAAGTTTTTGTATTTTTAGTAGAGACAGGGTTTCACCATGTTAGCCAAAATGGTCTTATCTCCTGACCTCATGATCTGCCTGCCTCAGCCTCCCAAAGTGCTGGGATTACAGGCGTGAGCCACCACGCTCAGCCACATGTATATTTTTTAATGTCTTAATGTTTGAGTAAATTCCCATTTAATCTCAAATTGTTCAGCAAAAGTCCATTGTGCCAGCTGCTTCTAAAACAGGATGCTCACTCCATTTTCAGTTGACGTACTGTTTTCCTTTGCTAGCAATTCTATCAAGACTTACACTAAGTTTACCTTACTCTAAGCTATTGTGTGAAGTGGCTTTCCCCTGGACAAATGAGAAGTAATAATATTTCTCATGTATTGTCAGGTAGTTGAAAATATTGTGATAAAATCTATATAAAAATTAAACTTAATGATTTTGTTAACTAAATACATATTTTACTTGCAATGGATTTCAATGAGAAAAATGTCACTTTAAAAGTATTTTAAAGATACACTAATAATATTGCAAATAATATTCATAAGATATTTATTAATAAATAATTACTAACAAATTACTAATAGCAAACTTATATGCTTTTAATATTTTTGAAGCCAAAAAAAAGTTATCTTTCAACTTGACTTGAAGGTATTGCCTAATAAAAATGGCAGAATTTGTTCTCATTAGCCTCCCTCAGATTCATTTTATTATGCTTTATTACTCTAATGATACTATTTAATAAAGTTATATTTAATTTATTTGAAAGTACTGATTACAAATTATTTCTTTTTAGCATCTCACATTTCGAGATTTCTATAGTCTGTGAGAAACAATACAACTTTAAAAAATTATAGTCGTACATAATTTGTATTGTCAGAGGCACTCCCTTTCCACCCCAAAGTTTGCCTTTTTGGGCTTCCAAAGCAAGAGATTTTATTTGGACTTCAGGTAAAGGTCCACGCTGAGACTGGAACTCTGGTTGCTGGATTCAGAGTCCAGGGTGCTTACCATTACACCATGGAACCACCGGAGAGGTGGCTGCTCTGACTCACTGGAGGTGTGCAAGTCCTTCCTCAGACTTTTAATTAGAGTTGCATCCATTGTCATATCTATTTTATGTCTTCTAGAATTCTCTTATCCCTTTACTAAAGTCATTAGAATATAGTCATTTGCATATTTTGACCCTTTGGGTTTTTTTAAGCTTCTATCCACTTAAATTTTCTTTTGAGTACATCTTTCTCACATCACCCAAATCTGTTTCCAAAATGCAGTTGAGCAAGCCTAAAGGCAAACTTGCCTTATTCCACTGATCGCGTTTGGTTTCAAGTTAAAGCCAGTTACTGTGGACAATGCTTTGCAACTCCTTAAATTGGAAATTAAATGGTCCATAGATTATTTTACAGAGCTAACCTGAGACTTCAAAATCCCTTATTAGACACTAAGGATTTCTTCAACATGTTCCAGTTTTGTTCTATCTCCAAGTAAATGAACCAGAACTAGACTATGTTATTCATAGATGGGTATTTACTATTTTACTTTGTCATTTACCCTGATAAAGGCACAGGAAAGAGGCCTGTAAATACAGAAGCATTCAATTGGTTACTGTATCTTTCTCATGTCTATAGTGTACACAAAATACACGTGATGTAATATACTGGAAAGACCCTGAATATGAAGAATGAGCAGTATTTTGGTGATGTGGGAGTTAGCAGATGTTACATATAGAGAACATTTTGGAGTCCTTGACTTCTGCGTCATGTGGTATGCTTTAGAAGTCAGATTCAACTTGGGAGTTGCCAATAAAGCCAGAAGTTCCCATAACCCTTCATAGTGTCACAGAAAGAGAAGTGGGGGTGGGGGTGTGGGGGGGAGCAAAAAAGGAAGTAAGCGTACAGTATGCAGTGAATTAAAAGAAAATAACCTATTTTATATTGGTTGTATAAAGACAGAGAAAGTGAAACTTACAACAGTAATGTAGACTGACACTAAGTTCTAAACATTGACCTATTACAGACAGAATCAGAAAATACATTGCAATTTGTAATAAATTCTTGCAGAAGAAAACCAAGACATAAATTGGAGAAAAAGACATAAATGGAACAGTGCTAGGGACCTTTTCCTCAGTCACATCTGATTATTTCCTCAGTTGCCCAATGTGAAAGTTTGGAAGTTAATGTAAGAAGCACATTGGAGATTATTTGTAGTGTTTCATATGTTATTATGCAGTTAACTCTTTTTCAAATTATGCTTTTATTCTATGAAACAGTTCAATAATTTTCAATTATTTTTTTCACTATAAAGCACCTAGCTGAGGAAAATCTTTGTGCGATTTTTGATGGGCATCTGAATGTGATAGTCATGAATCAATAATTGATTTTTAGAACCTTGTTTCTGATGTGGATGGACAGCTAAGTGACACTTTACATGCACTGCTAAAGGTACCAGGCAAATTCTCATTGGCTAGGTCTCTTGTTGCCCATGTGTACATTATGGCATGGTTATATAATTTGTAATTTATCTAAAATCTTCAGAAACAGTAATTATATAAAGAAGTCCACAGCGTCACAGCATATACATTTATACTCTAATGGATTCTTATATTGGTTAAGTGAGAATAAAAGTCTTATTATCACTGAGATACATTAAAGACAGAGAGGCTTCTAGATATGCCAACAGTTTTCATCCCTATTTTCCATTTTAAAGACAGAACTATTACTATACATAATCCATTCGTAACTGCTGGAAGATGCTTGTTCTTGTAAAGAATAGTGCACTCTAAAGATAAGTGGCATTAATGCTGCTCAGAAAACCTGAAACTTCAATATGCTCTTGGGTGCAATTAGGATTCTGTCACATAAGTGCTAGACTGTATCTATTTAAACTGGTTTTCTATATCGTGGAAGGTAAAAAGGTAATTATCGAAATGGAGGTAAATGAAACATGCATTTTAGAAATAGTTGAACCAATTACTCTCAAAGGATAGATAAGGGCAAAAAAATCTTTCATCCAATTTACTCATCCACTCAAACTTTATTTCCAAAAGTAAGCAGAGATCATCCCATAAATATTTATTTATTAGATTTATAAGTTGTGGCCAGCTTAAGCTGCAGAATAATTTTTGAGACAGAAATTATTTAACAACCAATGGCAAACTATTCTTAAGTAAGAA
This sequence comes from Homo sapiens, assembly GCF_000001405.40. Classification (NCBI taxonomy): domain Eukaryota; kingdom Metazoa; phylum Chordata; class Mammalia; order Primates; family Hominidae; genus Homo; species Homo sapiens. The sequence goes on along the minus strand of NC_000012.12, from coordinate 74,455,257 downwards.
ATATTTCTTCTGCAGAAGTAGACTGAAAAAAAAATCTCTAGTACTATCTTATTACATATCATTATAATAGCAGAGAGAAATTTTTCAGACAGAGTATATTAACTCTTGTTAGTGACCCTTGTCACAGTGAAGGACTGGGAACAATAAACAGAATCACCAGAAAAGGCAACAATATGCAAATTCTTATTTTTATTAAAATCAGTAAATCACAACATTAATTATTAGGGGGCACAGGGACATAATTATTTTTCATTTGACATTTGGATTCCTCATTTACAGCCTCTATTTATGCCTTATTAAAAAATACACTTTGATTCTTGTAAAAGTAATGGAAAACAAAGAAAGGTATTGTCTTTTCCTTCCCTCTGCCTTCTCTTTTTCCCCCCTTTTATAACTCCATTATCCTAACCATCGTCATCATTATCATTATAAGCTGAACTATCAATTGTGAATGGATAATTGATCATTAAAATGATGATAAAAGGAAAATCAAACAGGATAGTGATGCTACTGTGCTTTATGTTGCTATATATTTGAATCATTTATGTAGGGGTTATTAAATCCATTTCCATTTATATAACAGTCTTATGAAGTAAGCATACTGAAATTTAAGAGACACTATGTAACTAGTTCACACTTAGAGATCTATGTAGCATTATTAAACACATGTAAGGGCTTTGATATCTGAGAGACATGGATTCATATCCCAGCTCTGCTAATTTCTTGCTTGGTGATAGCTGGTGGGTTGTTTAAATTGTATGCTGTCATGAGTTTTCTATACCAGCTCAAGTGATTTAAAGTAAAACTCTAAAATTTCCCCTGACCCTGAGTTTTTCCTCAATTAAATAATATATATTTAAAGTTCTTAAAAAGGAAGAAAGGCCTTTGTGTGCATGTATGTGTGAGGGAAGAGAGTATTGCTAAAAAATATTGTGTCAGCAATAACTATGTCCTTTTGTAGGTGACTCAGGTTAAAACATTTTTACAGTTCTGAACAGCCTTTTCCAAGGGGCGGATGTTTAATATGACAGGTGCAGTATCAATGGCTCCTCTTATGGCATGATTGAGCTGTGCTGGCTGATATAGCATGGTGATTAAGAGCATAGGCTCTAAATTCACACTGCCTGGACTTAGAGCTTGGGTGTGCCAATTACTAGCTACGTGACATTGTTGAGTAAACTACTTAACCAGTCTGCGTCTTGGTGCCTTTATTTGTAAAATAACTCTAAACATTGTACCTACATTCCAGGGTTGGTATGAGTATTAAATTAATAGGTACACAAAAAAATTTGGTGGGGGATTTAGGTGATCCTAGTTACCCAGCTTTCCCAGAGGTTTCTTTTCCCTTTTGGTCTGATTCACATCAAAATGAGTGATATGATTTGGCTGTGTCTCCCATAATTCCCACGTGTCATGAGAGGGACCTGGTGGGAGGTAACTGAATCATGAGGGCGGGCTTTTCCTGTTCTGTTTTTGTGATAGTGAATAAGTCTCATGAGATCTGATGGTTTTATAGAGTGGACTTCCCCTGCACACACTCTCTTGCCTGATGCCATGTAAGACATGACTTTGCTTCTCACCCTCCACCATGATCGTGAGGCCTCCCCAGCCATGTGGAACTGTGAGTCCACTAAACCTCTTTTTCTTTATAAATTACCCAGTCCTGGGTATGTTTTACTCAAGCAGTTTATTTTGGCAGCACTCTTGCAAGACAGAAAGTGGGAGCAAGCCAGTGGCATGGGCCAGATACAGTTAGGGGTCAGATGACTGCCAGATAGAGAGGGTCCCCTTCTGGAGACCATTGTTAGAGTTTGAGGGATTCTTCCCCATTTCTTATACCTGTGTTTACTCCAGGTCAGTTATTAAGTGTTTCCTTCTTAAAGGAAATTTAAGGCACTCTTCTAAGAGTAAGTTCTGTTGAGGTTTATGAGAGTTACATCTGTGCTGAGATAGTCTTGTCTCCTGGAAATCCGGCCAGGGTTAGAGATCCCCAGGCCAGGTTGCAACATACTGCTAAGTGACACATAGTGTTGGCCCTGCGAGCTGCTTGAGTGGGTCTTATACATATTGTTAATCTTTAGCCATGATATATTTCTTATGGTATACTACAAAAGTATTCAAAATTGTTTGGTATATAGTAAGTAATATATACATGCTAATTATTTTCCTTATTGCCAAATCTCTCCCCAGAGGATGATGGAGAAGTGACGCTGCCCTGAGAACATCATCCAATTGTTAACATGTTTCCCTCAAACAAAGCTACCATAAAACATGGCCAGATTCGACACTCTTATCAGTCATTCTTCCCAACCCCATTAGCTATAGTTCATCACAGCAGGCTGATTAATGATGTTAACTCAGAGTCATTTGACATTTTGAAAATAGAGAGTGAGGGTTGGTATTAGTGTCATAAAAACCAGGCCAAATAGCGAGAATTTTGTTTCAAGTAGTTCAACTAATCAGTCTTTCTTGCTTTCTGGTATGAAATTATGTTCCAAGCTCACGTTGTACATTTCTTTTTCAAGAAATATTTCCAAGAACTTTATTAGTTTGGTGGGAAAAATAGTATTTATACTAGGTACTCACTACTATGGAGGTTCTTGTTTTTTTGCCTATACAGTTTATAATAAGAGATACAAATATATAATAAGTTTTGTACTACTAATTCCTGATAGTTCCAATTCAAATTTAGTCCTATGGGATATTTACTTAACCTCATTAATCTTACATCTCTCTGTACCTTTGAACTTCTACACAGAAATTCCCATTTCTCAACATAATTAGTCATTTGCATTATTTTACTTTACACACAATACTCTCAAACTGGCATTAACAACCATATCACTAACAAGATTACCATGAGCAGACAAAGTGAGTTTTTTATTTTCAGTTATTTCTGTCCTTAGAATATATCCCACCACTGATACATAGAAAATTACTTTGTTCCAAATATCCCTTTTCATAGTTAAATCTAAAACCAAGTATATTCAGGGTAGTATGGTAGCTATGCTCATTCTTCTTCCACTTTTCTTCTTTTTTCACCTATAAGCACTTACTTTGCTTTTATCTTATTGTATATTTTGGAAAATAATAGCATAGTATATTACACAAGCTTTTCTTCCCTTCCCTCTTTCACTTAGCAGTATATTTTGAGAATCGCTCCATAACAGTATGTAGACATATGTGTCATTCCTTTTTCAGCTCAGTTGTAAGAATATTTGGAAATAACGTAATGTAAATAATGCTGATAACAGTAGACTTGTAAATTGTAAATACATATTTCTGGAGTTTCTTTGTTGTTGTTTTGTGTGATTTTTTGATTGGTGATGGTGCTTTTGCCAATGTGCCTTCAGGATATATTCCTAGAAGTGAGATTGCTAGATGAAAGTGCAAATGTCCATGTAATTTTGCTATATATTATCAAATTTCCCTCCAAATTCTACACTCCTGCTAGTGCTTATGTTTCCACTGGTATATCAAAAAAATACGTTTTCCAAATTTTTAAATATTCGCCAAGGTAATGGGTGAGAAATGGTATCTCAGTATAGTTTTGATTAACATTTGTTTTATTATGAATGAGAGTAGACTGAGTAGCTTACCTAGGGTTAAGAACCATTCATATTTCTTTTTTGGTAAAATATACGTTCATATGTCTAGCCCACTCAGTGAAGTGAAACACTCAGCACATTGCTAATGCCTGATACATTTTAGGATGAAAGGTTTATTTTATGCTATAGATGTATTTATCTGTGTAGCTCCAATAGTGCGCTGTATAACCTATGATAGCTCTCCACTTCTCACACATTTTTCCCAAGGGCTTGGTTCATGACTTAACCTGACTGGTGAATTTAGAAGGGGAAATTGGTCCTGCTTACCTTTCTTCTCCTTTATCCTCTTCCTCTGAAGCTGCCTGCAAGCACATGTGCTCTTGAGGGACACTTATTTTGGTGCAGAAGTAGCATTCAAGACCTTCTTCTATAACCTGTCATTAGGTATGTACATTTGTCCAATTCTGTTGTTTAGCATGTAGGAGCTCAGTTGTTGACTACAAATATAAGGATAATATCCTTACTCATGGGAGACAGACACATGCTAAAGTATTTAGGAATGAAGCATCATGAAATACTATATTTGTACTAGAAAGTTTAACAAATATGAATGACAATCATACATTTCTTTTTCTGTAATTAATAAATCCAGAATTTTTAATTCTGATTAAAAATTTAGAGCAAATAGTCAGCAAAGTGTCTATTTCTTTAAATCCCTTTTACTTTCTACTGAAGATAATATTGATGTTTCTCAATTCTCAATCTGTGAGATTTGTTTTATTTTGTTTCAGATGTTCACAATGTCAGGCAAAGAAGACGAATACTTTTATTTCATGATCAAGTTCTGTTGATATAATCTTATCCCTACTGTCAAAGAGATGAGTAATTTGACCTCATCATTTATAACCTAAATGACTGTAATATGATGATATTTAAATGTAATTTTATTTTTTTGGACACTGACATGTGGGCTCTCTCAATTATTTAATGAAAGTATTAGAAAGTAGCAAGTGTGCACCATTTGTCTCCTTCTTTTATTGTACCTGGCATAAATTATCTTTGAGGATGCTGTGCAAAAGGCCATGTGGTATCAAGCCCTAGGAACATGTTGCAGGTTTTCAAAAACTAAATTGTCACAATAAAAGAAATGATTGTGTAACAAATGTCCATAAATCTTGGCCTGTAAATAGGATATCTTAAGGGTTTATTTTCTTCTATTTAGTAATATTTCATCAAGGAACATTTTCTCATTTTTCTCATTCTTCCATTTATAAATGAATCTGGAATTATTAAAATTAAAGTAGACTGTGCAACATTTAATTCCATAGCAGGTCAAAAAGTTTAAGACTCATTCTAGCTCTAGAAATATAGGTTACTATGGTTTTAGCCTTTGTCCCTTCTGGTCAGTCTCTTTGAAATAATCCCTGTTGAGTTAATCTGAGTTTGGCACCCTTCTTCAGACCCTCCTGAGACCTTCCTGGGTCCCCAGGAAATCCTGCATTTTTTTCTTGCTTCAGAGAAAGTACAGCAGCTCCCAATATAAAATTCTTTGATTTGCATTGAGGCCACAGTCCTGGCCTCTGACTCCCACATGTGAGTCCGTTACGCCTTCAGGAGACTCCTGTTGAGGTCTCTGAGTCATTCTTTCTAATCCCCTCTCATTCATTCTGAAGAGTGGAGCACATCTCCCATCATGAGGAAATTACACATAACTCTGGCAGCTCATTCCAGAGGAATCTTCTCTATGGCTAACCCTACCTCCTTTTTAATGGCCTAGTATAGAAGACAAACTTAGGGACAGAAGAACAAGTAGCTCTTAACATGTCTTGCAAGGTGATCCAGCACTTCAGGCCGTGGGTCTAAGGGGCCTCTGCTATACTACTGTTGTCCTGTGCACATACTGCCAAATGTCTGATTGGAGTCCAGTTTATCATCCTGTCACTTTTACTCAAACTAACCAAAGTCAGTTTCTATTATTTATGTTTTTAAAAACTTTAATTAATATGAGCAACTGCAGAGAGTAAAATTGTACTATGCAGCCAAGAGCCATATTTAAGGTGCAGACAGGAGACATTGATCTCTCAGTTACCATGGGATCTGAGGAAGGAATAATCTTTGATCTTTCAGAATGTAAAATATAAGGTAAATAACAAAACTTAAAGACTCCCTAGCACTAAAGCATAAAAAAAAGATATGTTTAAGAACAATCCAGAGAGAAAATTTTCTTTAGTAGGCTAGGCTGTGTTATTTTAGGCAATGAATACACGATTTTAATTTGTGTAATGTCCTTTGTGGTTAGAGGTGAGAAATAGCCAGATTAAAAGTCAGATGCTTTTATCTTCTTAGTAATCAGGTAACCTCACAAAGTCAAGTGCTTCAGTGGTCCAATGAGGAAGTGGAACAACTGGTACCTGCAATCACATGCAATTAAAGCAGGCTAAACATTCTGGTATTTTGCGACTTATTTTAAGATGTGTTCATGGTGTAGTTTCAAGTCTAACTAGGTGTCAGTCTGTGATTTAATTCATTCATTCAACAAATATTTTTGAGCTTTCATTATGTGCCAGACCGTCTTCTTGGCATTTGGGATACATCAGCTAGAAACATCAAATAGACAATCTGGGAATATCCAGTAGACGATAAACATACGTACTATAAAAATAAATTTCTAGAAAGCTAGAATGTAGTAATGGCTGCAGAAGAGAACCTGGAGCATGATGAGGGGGTTGAGGAGTAGAGGTGAGTGGAGAGGTTGTAGTTTAAACAGGATAGTCGGAGTAGCTTCCTTGAGAAAGTGACGTTTGAATAGATCTGAAAGTACCATAATTAACCCCTGAAATGTGGTGCTGAGGCAAATGGCTTTCTAGATTGAAGCCATCATTCAATGTTCAAAGGCCTAAGGCAAGCTACCCTGGTCTGTCTTTAGAGGATGAATGGCCAGTATGCAGGACTGGTGCCTGAGTGAGACAGGGGAGCAGAAATCAGAAACAAAGAGACATAAGGGTGGGAACAGAAACCTTAGAGAGCAGAGTATTGAACTCAAGTGAGATGGAAGGATCTCCAGCCTTGTGGGTTGTAAGAGCAGAAGATACGCAATTCAGAAAAGGTCCAAGAAGCCTTATTTTTGACCCTGTTCAGGGTACATTTCCTTTCCCAAGGAACAAGTACATCTAGAATATAAGATTACATGCAGAGGCCATGTGTCTGATAAATTGTTTCTGTTCTACTCAGTTTGTTACGCAGAAGTTAAAGTATTGGAGAGAGGTGAAAAATAAAATAGTGACAAAAAGAATTAATGCCATTTAAAACAATTCATTTCGCACCAAGAACATTTGGAATATTGGTTGTTTCTCTCTTTTTCTTTGTAGTAATTGTCTCAGTTTTCTTACATAATTTAGACATCTTAAAGATAATTTTTCAAAATTACAATTATTGATCAATGAACAATTATTGATAATCATAAAATTAATTATTTTAATCAGTATCAATGATAATCATTAATACAAAAAGTCCAGGATCGCCAGGATGATCCCTTACCTGCTCATTTATCCAGGTGACAGAAAATACTCAAACCCTATGAGATTACTAGTTCTGATATGCTATTAGGTAACTTTTGAGGGGGTTTCTGAAAATCTCAGATGTGTTTTTCATAAGTCAGGCAGGGGACATTTCAGTTATAAACTGCATTTTGTTCCAAGATAATGGTGCTATCAGGAAACACAATGAGAACATTAGTATTTCTCATTGTTGGGCTTGTAGGAAGTGGGGATGGAGGGGTCGTGTCTTGCCTATTTAGGGAAAGCAAGAACATCAGAAGTAACTTAATATTACCTTCAGTCATTCCAGGAGAATTATTTTTTACTGTTTTTCTTTGAAAAGAGAATGATTATCCTTTGCAGCTGGGTAATAAACATAGAATTCTGTTTAAAAACAATGTTTTATTACACTTGGTAAAAACTAATAATTACAATCTATCAAATAAAGTAATGAATGAAGTTGTTATTTTCAATATACTGGGTTCTCTGTTTTATAGATACAGAAAGTGAAATACAGTAAGATTTAGTCTTTTTTTATTGACTGGTATGAAATGGTACATATCCACATTGGAATACTACTTAGCCTTAAAAAGGAGAGAGAATCCTGCCATTGGTGACAGCACAGGGGAACATGGAGGACATTATGCTAAGTAAAAATGAAATAAGCCAATCACAGAAAGACAAATGTTCCATGATATACGTGGAATCTACAATTGTCAAATGTACAGAAGCAAACAGTAGAATGGTGATTCCCAGGCACTGGTGGGTGAGGCAGAGGAGGATTGGAGTGATGTTGGTCAAAGGATAGTTGTCTTTCTTTTACTGTGTTGAAACTCTAGCCTGTGAGCTTATGTCTTAGGATATAAATTATTCTACCTGGTAAGGGCTGTTGTGCAGGGACCACACACCTGACCCTAGTTGGAATACCTTGTATGTATAAGTACCGGAGAACGGATAAGGCTCGAGGTAGAGAGCTTCAGGTAGTAACAAGAAATTTATCAGGTTAGAAATTATAACTTCGGGCCAGGCGCGGTGGTTCATTCCTGTAATCCCAGCACTTTGGGAGGCCGAGGCTGGCGGATCACTCGAGGTCAGGAATTTCAGACCAGCCTGGCCAACACGGTGAAACCCCGTCTCTACTGAAAATACAAAAATTAGCCGGGAGTGGTGGTGCGTGCCTGTAATCCCAGCTTCTCCGTAGGCTGAGGCAGGAGAGTCACTTGAACCCAGGAGGTGGAGGTTGGAGTGAGCCGAGATCGCGCCACTGCACTCCAGCCTGGGCGACAGAGAGAGACTCCGTCTCAAAAAAAAAAAAAAAGAAAAGAAAAAAAAGAAATTGTATTTTCCTTTAAAAGAGGCAAGACATGGAGAAGGCAATCTCTTTAATATTATAGGTGGTCCTCCAACAGTTTACAGGTTTTGGAGATAATTGTTCAGAGGAATGAATGCCTAACCCTGGCCTCCTATCAGTTTATCACTGCTGGAGGGCTTGAACTTTGCACCAAGCAGCTGCTGCCAGTTCCTAGTCCACGGTGGTGATAGTTGCCCAAAGGCAATGTGGAGCTCAGGCAAGAAAAGAATTTAAAAGCTTTCACCCAACCTATACTCTCTTCACAGAGCCCTGCAACTATACTAAATCTTCACCTAATTTAAGACTTCCACTGCTATTGTCACTCACCATTTGAGATATATATATATATAACGTTATATATATAACTTTATATATATAACGTTATATATATATAACTATATATATATAACTATATATATATATATATAATTTTTTTTTTTTAAACGGAGTCTCACTCTGTCGCCCAGGCTGGAGTGCAGTGGAATGATCTCAGCTCACTGCAAGCTCCGCCTCCCGGGTTCACGCCATTCTCCTGCCTCAGCCTACAGAGTAGGTTGGACTACAGGCGCCCGCCACCACGCCTGGATAATTTTTTGTATTTTTTAATAGAGACAGGATTTCACCGTGGTGTCGATCTCCAGACCTCGTGATCCACCCGCCTCGGCCGCCGAAAGTGATGGGGTTACAGGCGTGAGCCACCACGCCCTTCCACCATTTGATATTTTTTAATCTTCCCAGAGGTTAGCACAGTTTTGATGTTGATTCCTTAGAGCCATGTTTTTTCTCTTTAATAGATTATTTTTTTCCACAAGTAGGCTTGAGGAAGACAGTATCTTTTGGTTATTCACTATATTGTCAAGAATATGAACATTTTTTGTGATTTTTCTTATACTATATGATATATATTTTCTTCTCTTTCCCATTTTCTGTGAGATTCTCAAGAGCAGGTATCGTGTCTTTATATCTATATCCTAAATTCCTCCTTTTTTTTTTTTTTTCCAGATGGAGTCTCGCTCTGTCGCCAGGCTGGAATGCAATGGCTCGATCTCTGCTCACTGCAACCTCCAGCCCCCGGGACCAAGCGATTCTCCTGCCTCAGCCTCTTGAGTAGCTGGTACTACAGGTGTGCGCCACCACGCCCAGCTAATTTTTGTATTTTCAGTAGAGACAGGGTTTCACCATGTTGGCCAGAATGGTCTCGGTCTCTTGACATTGTGATCCGTCTGCCTCGGCCTCCCAAAGTGCTGGGATTACAGGCGTGAGCCACTGTGCCTGGCCTCCATATTTTTTACACTTAGTAGGCTATCAATGAATATAGGTCAAAATAATAAATGCTAAAGTGAAATTGATCAAATACAGTCTGTATCAGTGGTATAGGAGTAAGAACAAACAAGAGTTTATTATTCCTCCACCAGAATATAAGCTTAATTCTTCATACTGTTTTTCCAGTACAGTATCTGGTACATAAGAATAATATAATAAATATTTATTACATAAATTAAGAAATCCTAAAACATATATCAATATTTTTAAATATGATTACTAATTATAAAATGATTGTAAAGAAGCTAGAACTAGGACATAAGCTAGAGAATGGAATGCTAAGAGAGATCATGAGGTACCTTCCACAGAAAAGAAAAATTTAAATAAATAGGACTCTATGACTGATAAAAATGGAATGATGATAGAAGAAATATTGCATCTATGCCAAATAAATATTGCAAAATAATTTCTCCTTACCAGTATGGGTTTTTTCAACCTCCTTTGTTGCTAAAACAAAGATAATCTTTGGTAACACAAGGTAGTTTTCAAAAATCCAGCACATCCTAGAACAAGAATATCCAATGCATTATATTCCTGTTTCTGCTCATGGTGTACTGTCAACAGGTAGAAGAGGCAAGGTATATAAATTTAGGAACACTTAGTTTATTTAATCTGATATATGGGGACAATAATACCTAATTTATAAGATTATTCTTATATAAGGCCATGTGAGGATGGAGCTCATATATTTATAAAATATAAATAAATGTATAAGTAATTCCTCATCACATGGCACATAACACCCATGTATTGTATGAGCACCATTTAAAAAATATTTATTATGATTTTGACTGCATCACAGTTACTCAGTCTCAGTACTGGTGACACTTTTCTTGCTTGCATGGAGCTTAAATCCTAACAGTGGAGACAGATAATATATCTAAAGATCACATAACATAGCTCAAAGAGCTATGCAATGAATTGATGCTGTGGAGCTTTTTTGGTGGATACTTAACATTGAACAGCTTAAAAGCCTTCCTTATTGTAATTACATTTAAGCTGAAACCTGAATGATAGGAAGGAGGCAACAATGGTAATACATGTATTTCTGCCAAAAAGAATAGCAAGTATAAAGACCTCAAGATAGAAGTGGGTGGAGGTGGGGTGAGTGAAGCTAATACTGGTTAAACTGAAGAAAAGGAAGAAGGTTTGAAACAGATTAAGCAAAGTTATTAAGCACAAACCTTTCTCAAACTCCTCCTTTTTTCCATACCACACACAAAAATGCTAGCTAGATATAATAACATGATGTTGGATCTTAAATCTTAACTGCTTATTTGCATTTGGTTTTATTCATCAGATTAACATTATTGAGTAGAGAAGCCTGGATACCCAAGAATCTGCACAATTTGCCTTTGGTGTATTGTTTCGTTAAACCTTAATTCTTTTCTTATTTCATCTCACTCTTAGAAACGTAAGATTTGTTTTGTTTATTCCAGTGTTTCCTCTGAAGTCGGTGACTTAGCACATTTTTTTAAAAAATTGACCTAACGTGTTGTCAGTGTGGGATGTTTTTCCAGCTTTTAAAATAAGCAAATTAGTCTGCTTATAACTGATATGATCCCATAAGAATAGTGAGCCTTACAGATCCCAGAAGGCCATAAAGTGGAGTAACTCATAAAGTCACCTTAAAATGTTGTGTTACTGCATCAAAAAAGTCCAATAACAGAACTTCCAAGTTCATTATTTTTTAAAATATCATGTTTCCTTGTTTTATCCATACATTTATTAAATATAAGTTTAGCAAGCTACTATGTGCCAGCAAATATTCTAGGTGTTAGGGGTGCAGCAGCAAAAATTACAGACATGCTCCATGCTCAGATGCAGCTTAAATCCTAGCAGAGGTGAGACAAGATGTGACTACCACAATGAGCTTGATAAACACTCTCAAAACAGAAATTGGTGTGAAGAGAAGGAAATCTCAACAAATGTAGTGATGACTATGATGATCAGCCTGCCTAGACCACCTCCCTATAGGATTGAGGCACTTATTCCTCCAGCTTCCTGCAGTTTTGCAGGCTGACTGCTCTCAAATCAGTTTCTCTCTAGGATTGTGTAAAAGCCCAGTGTGATGCTGTACCCAAGATTACATCCTCTCCCCATGCTCAGTTTATATTTTCGATGCATAGTTTATAAAGACAAACCAAATTCCTTGTTTCAATTCTGGACAACTCTGAAAGGTTATCCCAACTCCAGAGCTCTCTTAAGAATATATTGAGATATTTGCTGGAACTGCATGGAGGATTAACTTCTGCCTCTGGCCAGTGCTGTTTCTCTCATTTCTGCCTAGGCACTAAAGCTGAGAGCATTCCCCAATAAACTGCCTTCATGCAGTTTATTATACTCTGACAGTCTCTTGCCCAAAGAACCCAATGTAAGACACCAGTATAATTTGCTAACATTGAATTAATGAGGTTTTGCATTAATCGAAATATTGATGCACTTTGTCTTTTGAACGTGGCCTTTAGAGAAAATTTAGTGTTTCAGACACCAGAAGTTCTGTGAGAAGAGAATATGCAAACCTCATGAAAATCTATAAAAATAATTTCCTAACAAAAATCATATTGTGATGGATGACACAAATGTTACTTAGTTTTGATAAGTTATTCAAAATGGATTTTAGAGGCACATATTACAGGTAAAACCAACTAAACTCAATGATAGCCAGTGTCAGGTTATGAACAATTAGGATATTCTGATTAAAATTTACAAATCAAATTAATCACTTCCTGGGGATTTTTAATCAATAGTAAGTGGGAAGAGTTTTTGTATAATTTCAGTGTAGTCATTCTGCATAAAAATTTTAATGAGTGGAATTTAGATTACTTATTTTTCACCCTGTATAAAACTTGGATTTTATATGGGACTGTTAGCTTGTCACAAGACATTATTTTGGTTCTTTATGGAGAATGCTTCTAAAATGTTTGATATTTCTAGATGAAAGTCAAACAAGGTTTAAAATACAAGATTGAGTTTGGCAAATCTTAATAGTGTCTGATGAAAAAGGATTACACCAATCTGCAGAAAACATGTTCCTCTGCTGCTTCAGTTATAGTTAGAATTTTACTAAGGGAGGTTGTAAATGTCCCTATGGGATAAAACTGTGAGAATAAAAACACCATTATTGTACAAAGGCTGTTTGAATTTTAATCCCTTGAGAACGTTTTGATCGTCTGTGTGTTGCAGAAGCAAGCATATAGAAAAAAGAAAAAAAGTAGCTGTGTTTCAAATAGGGAAGCTAAGATGGTGAAATGCATAGGTGCTACACAGACACACACATACACACACACACACACACTTTCTCCCTTTCTCATCAGGTGTCCTTAATGCTGGGTACTGCCCAGATCCTCAGGGGCTAGGATATAGATAGCCAAAGGTTCATAGCTGAGTCCCTTTATCCCCTCCCTGGGGACAACCCACATACAATGATTGCTCCCTGCTGAGATACAAGGTTCCCAGCCTCTTCCCTCAATTCCTTACGTCTCTATGCAGGATGCTTTCAGCTTCGGCGTGCCCATGGAATTACCTGAGGCTTCTGCTTCAATTGCATCAGTAGTTTAATTTCTCCATTTGCTGGATTCTCCTCTCTCTCTCTCTCTTTTTAACTGGAGGCATTCCGGAGATCACAACCCAATAAGTTCCTGCATTCAGATCTCATCTCATTAAAGTCTGTTTTGGGAGAATCTAACCTACAACACACTGAGTGACAATTTCCCTCTGAATTCATTGTGTTTCTGCCATTGGAAGTCTTGGGGTTTCTTCTGGGGTTATAGCATTTCTAATCCCTTACACCCCTTTGCAGTACTGAAGGTTTATTGAATTTTTAATTTTTAAAAAATATTTTTTAATTTTAAAACTTCTTTTAATGTTTATGGATATGTAATAGTTGTTCATATTTATGGGGTACATATGATATTCTGATACAAGCATACAATGTGTAATGATCAAATTAGAGTAATTAGGTTTATTTAAATTTATCCTGTAGCTAATGAGAATGATCTGTTACAGGGGAAGATTACCCAGATATTCAAAATATGTTTAATAATTATTATTTCCGGATATTTATATTTGCTCCATATTATCACATACACATTTCACATCATAAACCAAACACTTTTTTATGGGGACAGAGACAGTTGACTAATAATTTCAGTGGTCATATGGAAAGTTTCGTCAGTGTTTCATGGTTTTCATTATAGAGATCTTTTACTTCTTTGGTTAATTCCTAGGCATTTAGTTTTATGTGTGGCTATTGTAAATGGGATTACTTTTTAAATTTTTCACATTGTTCACTGGTGGTATGTAGAAACGCTGTTGATTTTTGTATATTGATTTTGTGTCCTACAAGCTTACTAAATTTATCGGTTCTAATAGTTTTCTTGTGAAGTCTAGGTTTTTCCAAATATGAGATTATATCATCTGCAATCAAGGATAATTTGACTTCTTTCTTTTCAATTTGGATGCTTTTGATTTTTTCTCTTGTTTGATTGCTTTAGTCAGGATTTTCAGTACTATGTTGAATAATAGTGGTGAAAGTGGGCATCCTCGTTGTGTTCCAGATCTTAGAGGAAAGGCTTTCAGTTTCTCTCCATTCAGTAAGATACTAGCTGTGGGTCTGTCATATATGGCTTTTATTGTATTAGGGTATATTCTCCCTATGAGCATGAAGTGATGTTGAATTTTGCCAAATGCTTTTCAGCATCAATTGAAATGATCATATGATTTTTGTCCTTCATTCTATTGGTATGATATCTCACTTTGATTGATTTGTGTATTTTGAGCCATCCTTGCATCACAGGGATAAATCCCACATGATCATAATGACCTTTGTAATGTATTATTGAACTTGGCTTGCTAGTATCCTTTTGAGGACTTTTGCATCAATATTCAACATAGATATTGGTCTGTAGTTTTTTTTAATGTGTCTGTCTGGTTTTGGTATCAGGGTAATACTGGCATCTTAGAATGAGTTTGGAAGTATTCCTTCCTCCTCTATTTTACAGGTTAATTTAAGTAGTATTAGTATTGGTTCTTTAAATATTTGGTAGAATTCAACATGAAGCAATTGAGTTCCAGAATTTTCTATACTGGAAGACTTTATTTCAGCTTTGGTCTCACTACTTGTTATTGATTTCTTTAGGTTTTGGATTTCTTCATGGTTTAATCTTGGTAGGTTGTATATGTCTAGGAGTTTGTACATTTCTTCTAGATTTTCCAATTTATTAACATATAGTTGCTCAAAGTAGCCTGTAATAATCCTTTGAATTTTTGTGGTATCAGATGTAATGTCTCCTTTTTTATCTCTGATTTTATTTATTTGGATTATCTCTCTTTTTTTCTTAGTGTGGCTGAAGGTTTGTCAAATTTTTTTAACTTTTCCAGAAACCAACTTTTGGCTTCATTGATCTTTTATATTGTTTTTTTCTTCACTTTAACTTCATTATTTCTGCTTTGATCTTTATTATTTCTTTTTTCTAATAATTTAGGCTTTGATTTGCTATTGCTTTTCTAGTTCATTAAGATGTATTGTTAGATTGCTTATTTGAAGTTTTTCTTTTTTTTTTGACACAGGTACTTATAGCTATAAACTATAGCTATAAGTTTGATTTTGGTGTATCTCATTGGTTTTGGTATGCTGTGTTTCCATTATCATTTGTTTCAGGAAATTTTTCAATTTCCTCATTAATTTCTTCATTGACCTACTGATCATTCAGGAGCATATTGTTTAATTTAATTATTTGTATAGTTTTCAAAAATCCTCTTACTAGCGATTTCTAGACTTATTGCACTGTGGTCAGAGAAGATGCTTGATATTATTTCAATTTTTTGAATGTTTTTAGACTTGTCTTGTCACCTAACATGTGGTGTATCCTTCAGAATGATCAATGACATCTCTGTATTTTGGCTTTGGTTCTTCCTCTCAGAAAAACATGTGTGAATAATTTAAATTGTTTTCTCCTCTGGTTGAGATATTTTTCAGATTTCTACCTGATACTTAGGCCATCTACTTGGATCCTATCAGCTTCTGTGTCCTGTTCTATACTTCTTATCTATTATTGAAGTGCTGTCTAAGTCTGACCTACTCACCTGTATGCTTTTTAATTAATTACATATGTTCATTGGGTCTAACCCCATTTTTAGACTTGATTGCCAAGCTTCAAGTACAGCCGGTTTTATGTCTGCATCTGATTTCTCCCCAATTTTGTCACAGATCTTTTAGCTGTAAGTTCAGATGATGTATTCAGGGTACATTCTTGCTAGTAGTCTTGCCATTAATAAATTTTTACACTCACATATTCTCTTAAAAGTGCTGCTTCGTCTGTTCAATCAATCATCTGTTAATTTGTTCATTCATCTATTTATTTGTATTAGAACAGGTTGTCTAGAAGGAGAATATGACCCAAGGGAATTCTTGTTCAAATGATTTCTTGCAGAAGTGCTCTAAGCATAAGGGATATAAGAAAAAAAGGATAAGGCAGGGGGAAACATAACCATAGGTATGATCTCACCTGGAGACTGGCTTAAGTCTGATACGTGAGGAATAGTCTGCAGCACAAATTGCACCATAGAATTACTTCCACCTACAGCAAGAGAGTCAGCCTTCTGTATTCCCCTCTAGTCCATCATTGGCCAGGGTCTGAGATTGTGAGACAAGGAAAGAAGGGGATTTCTCAAGAGAAGGAGTAGCTATGAACTGTTATTAGAGTGAAGATTCTCAACCACATGGCATGGAAGCACTGTGGCATAGCTGGTAAAGGGGGCCATGGTGAGCAACAACAGTATCCGTGATAACATCAATCTGTCCATCCATCCACCATGTCTGCTTTCGTTCATTTATCTGTGTAAACAATTTATTAAGTATAAATTTTGCAGAGTTCTAGGAATTAAAGAAGGGGCCTTTGATCTGCAAATACATGCAGTACAATGGAGGAGATCAATAAAGAGAAAATCAAAACCCGGACAAATAAGTTATGTTACAGAAGTCTGAATTGGGAGCTCTGTGTAGTTAGGGAACTCTGAATTCTTTCTGAATGATCACGATTATAGGAATATTCCTAAAAGGGGCAATTGCTAGTAATAAAGATAAAAGGAGGTTTTAAGTTGCTAGGATGGGTAAAGAGAAGTATAAATGAATTGCAGACCAGATGTTATTACTGCTCATTCTTGACAGGGGAAAGCCTAGTCAAATTAGTATTTCTTTTGCCTATTTTTTTCATTTGATGGGAGGTAAATAGGGTCTAGGTATTTGTAAAGGGCTTGATAAACTAGGTAACAAGGTCCTTTTGTGTTCCACTATCTGTTGGCTTGGAGTTATCTGATTAGACCCAAAGATATTTCCCAAGAGAAGGGAGCAACAGAGTTTGAAGAAGTTAACTATAAACAGAGATTCTCTCCTTAGTAATCTTAGAAGGTTTCCTAACATTTCTCTATCAATTCCTTGCAAGTCTTGTGTAAGATATAGTTACCTTGGAGTGGGAAATTAGCACATACTAAAATGAATCTGTATGTTGACTAGCCAAGTAGTAAAAAGGAAAGGGCAATTCAGATAAGCGGAATAGTGTGGTACACAATTGTGAAATGGCATCCATTTGAAACGTAAAAGTTGTCTGCATTTTTCTGGTAGAAAAGAGTTTGGGCTAGGGTCACGTTGAGATTTGATCGTAAGGGGACTTACATGTCATTAGAACATGTTAAGTATAGAAGTGATATGACCAATCTTTGTTTTATAATATAGGTCTGAATGAAGAGAGGATTTCCTAGATAGATAAAGAGAAGGAGATTAGTTTGTCATCCATTTAATTTCTGTGACTCTTGACTCTACCTGAAAAACTATCAGGTTACCTTTCTACTTGCAACAGAAGGGGAGAAAAAAGAACACAGCTGCTCTAGCTCTGCCATCAGTTGATTTATTAATGCTGTTTTTTACTGGGCTCAAGTTAGCTTTTACTTTCTAGATCCTATTTTACTGGTAAAAGCACCTCAATACATTTGATGTATTGTCCACTATTCACTTTTAACTTATGTATTGCAGGTAGTGCTGACTAGCTATGGTCAATCAGATTTATAGTAATTAATTCAAGAATACACATATGTATCAATCCAAGGACAATCAACTTCAGGAATTTTGCATGGCACCATCAGGAAAGAAACATGCTCTTTTTCTCTGAAGTTAATAAATCATAAAATCCAAGTCTTGATTTGCTGTTGGTCATTTTTGACACTTTGTGGGGAAATAACGACTCAGATTAAAGTATATATATATGTGTGTGTGTGTGTGTGTGTGTGTGTGTGTATATATATATATACACACATACATATATGTACAAAAGAAAGAGTCAGGGATACATAATTTCTTAAAGATATAGCTTGACAAGCTTGATAGAGCCAGGTCTAAAGTTGATTTAGTTATGGGTTTTTTTATTATATAAGCCAGGCTGAGTTGTGTTACAATTTGTTGGACTCCAAAGGGTTCTGACTAGTAAATTTATTTTCCTTTCAAAGCTCCAAACACCTTCATGTCTGTCCACTCTTGACCTAGAACATGCTTGGCTTCTCATCTCTTCACTATTTATTTTTCTCCATTATTTCCCTATTTCCTCTATTAGTCTGGATTAATTACATTAGCACAGATCTAGAATTATTAGTGGAAAGGCTGCTACCACCATAGAAAGCTCAAGTCATTTGGAGAACTCTTTAACTGGCTTGCAAACCCCACTTCCTTCCCCAGGCTGATCGTTGGCTGAAGAAATAAAATTAGAAGAAATTCATGGCAATTCATGCCATCGATAATGAAGGCATGAACAAAGAGATAGATCTGTTAGCTCTTTAGGAGGCCATGGAGTATTTAAAATGAGGGGCATGACAGAGTTTGCAATGACTTTGACTTTAGTTGGTACCCAAGTGCATAAAAGCAAATGTTAGAGAAAGACATAATTCTGAGTCTATCTCTCTCCATCTCGTCTGCCCAAATACTAGTTTAAATTGTATCTACTCTGGTTCCTTGCTTCCTGATGGCCCGGGAGAATTTTCAAAACCCAAGCCTGAACATACAATTTTTGAACATGTAATGTCTTTGGTTTAAGACACGTTAATGGCTTTTATTATAACTGTTTTCAGGATAAGGAAAAAGTCCTTAACATGGACTTCAGATTTGGGGGAAATACTGTTTCAAGGGCACTGCAAAGTTTACCATCAATCAAAGAAATATTTAGTTACAGTGTGGAAATTGTAGAAATAACAACTAACTGCATGATCTGGTGCCTCCCTGCCCCTGTGACACTCCGTCAGCCCCACGTGTCACTCCTTCTAGTAACTGAATACACAATCTCAGTTTCTCAACACCTCTAATCCCCTCCATTTTTGAAGGTTTTGATTATGCCCTTCATTCTGCTGGGGCAGTGCAGCTGCCCATAGCCTCTTTATCAAGTTAATTTTTACTTAATACCCTGACATCCCTCACTAGAGCAGATCTCCCTGTATTAGGCTGTTCTCACACTGCTAATAAAGACATACCTGAGACTGAGTAATTTATAAAGCAAAGAGGTTTAATTGGCTAACAGTTCAGCATGGCTGGGGAGGCCTCAGAAATCTTGCAATCATGGCAGAAAAGGAAGCAAACACGTCCTTCTTCACATGGTGGCAGGAAAGAGAAGTGCTCAGCAAAAATAGAAAAGCCCTTTATAAAACAATCTGATCTCATGAGAACTCACTCAGTATCACAAGAACAGCAGGAGGGTAACTGTCCCCATGATTAAATTACCTCCCACTGGGTCCCTTCGACAACATGCAGGGATTATGGAAATATAATTCAAGATGAGATTTGAGTGGGAACACAGCCAAATCATGTCATTTTGCCTCTGGACCCTACCAAATCTCATGTCTTCCCATTTCAAAACAGAATCATGCCCTTCCAACAGTCCCCCAAAGTCTTAACCCATTAACTCAAAAATCTAAGTTCAACATCTCATCCTAGACAAGGCAAATCCCTTCCACCCATGAGCCTGTAAAATTGAAAGGAAGTTAGTTACTTCCTAGATACTATGGGGGTACAGGCATTGGATAAATACATCCATTCCAAGTGGGAGAAGTTGGCCAAAACAAAGGGGCTACAGGTCCCATACAAGTCTGAAATTCAACAGGGCAGTCATTAAACCTTAAAGCTCCAGAATGATCTCCTATGAGATCTCAGATCCAGGTCACGCTGATACAAGAGGAAAGCTCCCAAGGTCTTGGGTAGCTCTGCCCCTGTGGCTTTGCAGGGTACAGCCCCCTCCCAGCTGCTTTCATGGGCTGCTGTTGACTGTCTATAGCTTCTCCAGGTGCACGGTGCAAGATATCAGTGGATCTACCATTCTGCGATCTGGAGGACAGTGGCCCTCTTCTTACAGCTCCATTAGGCAGTGCCCCCGTGGTGTCTCTGTGGGGGGGTCTGACCCCACCTTTTCCTTCCACACTGCCCTCACAGAGGTTCTCCATGAGGACTCCACCCCTGCAGCAAATTTCTGCTTTGACATCCAGGAGTTTCCATTTATCCTCTGAAATCTAGGTGGAGGTTCCCAAAACTCAATTCTTGACTTCTATGCACTCAAGGCCCAACACCATGTGTAAGCTGCCAAGGCTTGAACCCTCTGAAGCAATAGCCTGAGCCGTACCTTGACCCTTTTTAGCCATGGTTGGGATGCAGGACAACAATCTCTAGACTGCACACAGCAGGGGTGCCCTGGACCCAGCCAAGGAAATCATTTTTTCCTCCTAGGCTTCCAGGTTTGTGATGAGAGGGGCTGCTGTGAAGGTCTCTGATATGCCCTGGAGACATTTTTCTCATTGTCTTGGTGATTATCATTTTGCTCCTCATTACTTATGCAAATTTCTGCAGCCTGCTTGAATTTCTTCCCAGAAAATGAGTTTTTATTTTCTACTGCATCATCAGGCTGCACATTCTTCAAACTTTTATGCTCTGCTTCCTCATGAACACTTCGCCTCTTAGAAATTTCTTCCTCCAGATACCCTAAATCATCTCTCTCAAGTTCAAAATTCGACACATCTCTGGGTCAGGGGCAAAATGCTGCCAGTCTGTTTGCGTTGCTAGAGTCACCTTGTAACAGGAGTCACAAGGTGACAAGAGTCATCTTGTTGAGAACTCCAGTTCCCAAGAATTTCCTCATCTCCATCTGAGACTACCTCTGCCTGTACTTCATTGTCCATATCAGTATCAGCATTTTGGTGAAAGTCATTCAACAAGTCTCTAGTAAGTTCCAAACTTTCCCACATTTTCCTGTCTCCTTCTGAGCCCTCCCAACTGTTTCAACATCTGCTTATTACCCAGTTCCAAAGTCGCTTCCACATTTTCGGGTATTTTTACAGCAGTGCCCCACTGCACAGTAACAATTTACTGGATTAGTCCATTTTCATGCTGCTATGAAGAAATACCCCTGACTGGGTAATTTATAAAGGAAAGAGGTTTAATTGACTCACAGTTCAGAATGGCTGGAGAGGCCTCAGGAAACTTGCAATCATGGTGGAAGGGGAAGCAAATATGTCCTTCTTCACATGGTGGCAGGAGAGGGAAGTGCCAAGCAAAGGGGGAAAAGCCCCTTATAAAACCATTGGATCTCATGAGAACTCATTCACTATCACAAGAACAGCATGAGAGTAACAACCCCCATGATTAAATTACCTTCCATCATGTCCCTCTCATGACATGTGAGGAATATGGGAACTATAATTCAAGATGAGATTTGGGTGGGAACAAAGCCAAACCATACTACTCCCCATTAAATCTACTTTGCAATATTTACCAAATCTCCAGTTTTTTCTGTTTATGGGATGATTTACTTATCTAATCTCTCTCTCACTAGACTGTGCACTCTAAGAGGGTAGAGAACACATAAGTTTTTGTTTACTATTATATTCACAGTGACTACGCGTTCACATTATAAACCCTAGCATGTATTTATTTCTTAAAGGAATGACTCATTTTTGAGAGAGTGTATATTTTTAAGAAAATACTATCCTTTTGATTGCAGTTGCATGTTGGAATCCATAAGCAACAAGGTGTCAAAAATTATTCCTCTCCCTCTTATGACTATGCCTCAGTTTCATTTTTAGATGATATTCCATCCTTTTCCTTTGACAATAAATGTTTACGCCAAATATTAATTGGCCGGATTTTGAGTTCTAAACATATTATGTAATGATTGTGTGTAGCTCCATGGATGGCCTTGCTCTCAATTTAGGCAGGATTACTGATAACATTCCTTTGATAGAGGAAGTTAATTTTTCTCACTGCAACTTACTTACTCTGAAAATATCAGAAAACTCAGTATTCAGAGGTTTCTTAATCTCTTGCCATTTAAAATGACAGTTTATGTGGTAGGAATAGTGGCACAAGGGAATGTCATTTATTTCCACAAGGTTTATGTAATGGACAGAGTGCAGACAGCAGATAAAGCTCAATATTTGTGCCTGGGATAGAGAATATTTTAATTGCAAATTCACCAGTAGAGAAATTCTTGTCACTACCTTAGAGGAGAATAAATAGATGATCTTCTTACTTCCGCATGCATACTTATGAACTTTATCAGAGAATCAGGCTAGATATAACTGTGCTCTGTTTAACTGTTTCTGTGCTTTTTTTTTTCCCCTGGAAGTGTTTTAGCTAACTCATTAGCTACAATATATCTTATTTGGGGAGGTCTCTGTAGAATTTTCTACTGATGACACCTTTGCCAGATCAAGATGCCTAGTTTGCACTTCTGGAAAGTGATTTGCACAGAGAAAATAAATGGCAAGTGTCATGAGGTTAAAAATAAAACCAGTATTTCAGATTTTTATGTTGCTTGGGTTTAGAGGTGTTGCTATAATGTTTTTATTTACCTCATTATAATGCTTATGTTTTAGGCACTGTTCTAAGTATTCACAAATATTAATTTACTGTATCCCCCAACAAGTTAACAGACATTATCATAACCCTTTAGAGGTAGAAACTGAGGCATAGAGAGGGTAACTTGCCTGCAGTCACATAGCTAGTGAGTGTTGATGCCAGGACTGTAACTCAGTCATCTGGTGTCAGAATCCATGCCCTGGACCACTATCTGGCATTGCCTCTCAAGTTTGACATAGATTCATTTGTTTTGTTTTAGTCTGATCTCTAAAGCTCACTGTGGCTTCAACTCAGATTAAACAAACAAACAAATAATCAAACAAACAAATAATCTTAAAGAATATACAACCTAATAAATGTTCATTTTGCTTACATTCAACTACTTTGAAAAACTACCCCAAAGATCACTGCTTGCTTCCCTCCCCTTCTTAGTTAATAATACAGAGTGTATTTTCCAATATAGTTGCAATGTAGTATTTCTTCCCACATGATCTTCTTCCAGTATGACTTTGACAGTTCCTCCATGAAAGATGGGGCTGATGTCATCCTGTGAATCTAAGTGGAACTATAGCTATAGTAAAAGTGACTAAGGGGAGGTCATTAAAGATGATATCACTTCTGCTTGGTCATCTTGAGGTGCTTGCTATAGAACTCAGTCACCATGCTGTGATGAAACCCCAACCACATGGAGAGGGTGCATGCAACTCTGATTGTCAACCTCAGCTGAGATCCCAGGGAAGAGACAGGATCTGCTTCCAGGCATGCACGTGAAGGCTCCTCTAGATAATTCCAGTCCTCAGTTTTTCAGTCTTTCCAGCTGAGGCCTCGGACATTGCAGATTAGAGAGAACTCTGTCTATATTCCTGACCCATGAAGTCTGGAGTTTAATAAAGTTATTCATTTATTCCACTAAGATTTGGGATTGGTTTGTCACTCAGCACTAGATAACTGAAACAGTAATATAGGATTAATACCTCTGGCCTAGTGTAAGGTATATAACTAATTAATCTTTAATTCAGGAGCATAAACTGAATTATTCATTATAGTTAAATGCTAGAAGACATTTCAGATCACCTAGATCACAGACATCCAATATTTTAAAAATCAGAATGAGAATTTAAATGTTTTATTTTATTTTATTTTATTTTATTTTATTATTATTATACTTTAAGTTTTAGGGTACATGTGCACAATGTGCAGGTTTGTTACATATGTATACATGTGCCATGTTGGTGAGCTGCACCCATTAACTCGTCATTTAGCATTAGGTATATCTCCTAATGCTATCCCTCCCCCCACCCCCCACCCCACAACAGTCCCCGGTGTCTGATGTTCCCCTTCCTGTGTCCATGTGTTCTTGTTCAATTCCCACCTATCAGTGAGAACATGCGGTGTTTGGATTTTGTCCTTGCAATAGTTTGCTGAGAATGATGGTTTCCGTTTCATCCATGTCCCTACAAAGGACAAGAACTCATCATTTTTTATGGCTGCATAGTATTCCATGGTGTATATGTGCCACGTTTTCTTAATCCAGTCTATCGTTGTTGGACATTTGGGTTGGTTCCAAGTCTTTGCTATTGTGAATAGTGCCACAGTAAACATACGTGTGCATGTGTCTTTATAGCAGCATGATTTATAATCCTTTGGGTATATACCCAGTAATGGGATGGCTGGGTCAAATGGTATTTCTAGTTCTAGATCCCTGAGGAATCACCACATTGACTTCCACAATGGTTGAACTAGTTTACAGTCCCACCAACAGTGTAAAAGTGTTCCTATTTCTCCACATCCTCTCCAGCACCTGTTGTTTCCTGACTTTTTAATGGTCGCCATTCTAACTGGTGCACGATGGTATCTCATTGCGGTTTTAATTTGCGTTTCTCTGATGGCCAGTGATGATGAACATTTTTTCATGTGTTTTTTGGCTGCATAAATGTCTTGTTTTGAGAAGTGTCTGTTCATATCCTTTGCCCACTTTTTGATGGGGTTTTTTGTTTTTTTCTTGTAAATTTGTTTGAGTTCATTGTAAATTCTGGATATTAGCCCTTTGTCAGATGAGTAGGTTGCAAAAATTTTCTCCCATTCTGTAGGTTGCCTGTTCACTCTGATGGTAGTTTCTTTTGCTGTGCAGAAGCTCTTTAGTTTAGTTAGATCCCATTTGTATATTTTGGCTTTTGTTGCCATTGCTTTTGGTGTTTTAGAATTTAAATTTGAATTTGAGTGATAGGTTTCTCACTTTTGCTGCTCTTGTTTAGGTAATTTTTGTACTATTTCTTTTTAAATGCTTTGATCCTCCGTTTTTTCTCTTTCAAATTCTGAACTGCTAACGTTATAACTTTTTATATTATTATGTACAAAGTTTTGCAGAAAGCACTCGCTTGCATGGCCATGTGAGCATATTTTATTGCTGAGGTTTAAGCACATGTTAATATACCTACCAAGTTTTACTAAGAAGAGGTAGATTCAAGGTCACTGGCATCTAAGGTTAATTTTATTTCAAATATTATAAATGGAAACTGCACCTCAATGAAATACTTCATATTTTTTTTAGTAATGGGGAGTAGTAAATAGTCATTACTCTTAGGTGTGGGAGGAAGTATTAGAGGAAATTTTCTGAATGATTTTTAACTGAAAGAAACCACAAATTATGTTACTAGGTGTGTGTGTGTGTGTGTGTGTGTGTGTGTGTTGAGGCCTGACCTCTCTGGACAGAGTATCTTAATCTGAGATTGTCCATGATTTAAAAATATCAGAATAATTCAATGTTACTGTTCCTGAGTTTTAGTGCAAAT